>NC_000022.11:35073200-35224715 GCF_000001405.40 Homo sapiens
CCACTTAAGGAGAATTTGAGAGGAGGAGTGTCCATGAAGTTGCAAACCCATCTGACAGCCACTACGGTACTGAGTTGGGTGCTGGAGATGGTGTAGAGCAGTGGTCCCCAAACCTTTTTGGCCGGTTTTATGGAAGATGATTTTTCCATGGACGGTGGGTGGGGAAATGGTTTCAGGATGATTCCAGCACATAACATTTATTGTGTACTTTATTCCTATTATTATTCATACTCACCATAATGTAGAATCAATGGGATCCCTGAGTTGGTTTTTCCTAGGAGAATCTAATGCTGCCACTGATCTGACAGCAGGTGAGACAAATAACCATCACATAATCACAAATGAAAGTACAATTACAATTGTGGCAAGTGCTGGGGAGATGGTGACTTGGTACTCCAAGGGACTATTCCATGGGAGTTTGGTCTGCCACGGA
This sequence comes from Homo sapiens, assembly GCF_000001405.40. Taxonomy (NCBI): domain Eukaryota; kingdom Metazoa; phylum Chordata; class Mammalia; order Primates; family Hominidae; genus Homo; species Homo sapiens. Next base: position 35,073,634 of record NC_000022.11, read on the forward strand.
GGTCAGAAAATGCTTCCCAGAGAAGCTGTGGTCGGTCTGTAATCTGAAGACTGAGTAGGGTCGAAGGGAGGGCATTCCACATGGAGGGAGCCCCATGGACAAGGGCCTGTTAATAGGTGATGTCCAAGGATACAACTTGAGGTCTAGGAGCCAGAAAGGAGCCAGCCCACGCTGGCCTTGTAGGCTATGGTAGAGATTTTTATTTTTGCTTTGTATTCCTAGGGGAATGAAGAACCATTTTCAAATTTTCGACAGGAAAGTGTACAGTGATCAGTATTAATGAGAGCTATTTGGTTCCAATTGACAAAAATTATCTTAGGCCAGCTAAAATGGAGAGGGACATGTATTGCCTTGGAGAAAATTAAGAAATCACTTCCCAGACTAAGCCAGGTGAAGGGCAGAATGATAAGCAACCTTCAGCCGTGATGGGATCCAGAACCAATAATGTCATCAAGTCTCTGCAGCTGTTTCTCTCTGCATGTGAGCTCACCTCTTCCTTGCTGCTAATTGGCATTCTCCTAATAGTTTCCAATAGCTCCAAGAGTTACATCAGCCTCCAGTGACATCCTCAAGCTCTCTAAAATCCCATGTTCAAAAGCCCCAGAGGAGGGACACCCATTGGCCGAGCTTGAGTGAGATGTCCACCTCCAAACCAGTCAACTGAGACCAGCGGGTGTGGCTGGAGCAGCTGTGTGTGCTTGGGCCTTGTCTGGAGTCTTCATCTTGCTGTTCCCCTTCTACTTCACTGTTCCATGCTGGGATGATGGTTCCTTATTTCAGGACCCTTAGAACTCTTTGTACATCATTTTAGTCTCCATATATGGAAACCTCAAGTTTCTTTATCAGTAGTGTGTTGCTAAAGAGGTTTCCTCCCCACTCCTTGTAAGGAGGCAGTTGTTAATAATTTGTTGGCCAGAAATGTCTATTCCTCCTGTTTGCAAAGCCCTGTGGCTTTGTAGATCTCTAATCTGGGCATTCTGCACTTTTGCCACCTTGGTCGGCCTTCTGTAGGTATTTAAGTAAAGAGAACAATTAAATTCCTCCTTAGTTCTTGGCAAGAAGGATAACTAAACATGGATTTCCCCATTGAACAGGAACAAGTTCTAGGACACTTCCTGTGTCACATCTTGAAACATCCCCTGACTGCACAGCTTGTGTTGTCTGATTATTCCCCTGCATCAACACAGTATAGATTGGAGAGGAAGTGGAGAGGGTCTGAAGCATAAACACACACGTGCACACACACATGCATGCACGCAACACACGCACACATGCACACAACTTCCCAGCAAGGAAGGGAGTTAGAAATGTTGAAATATTATAGCACATGAAATCAACCCACTGCTACCCTGTCCCAATAATCTGTGCCCATGCTTCATGTTTAATCTCACCAGACCTAAACGCATTGTCATTAGTCACATTGTCATAATACAAATACGATATACAAACCTAACAAAGTGCTTTAGAACACAGAAGAGGCAATAATGAACTCTGCATAACACCATCAGAGACAGCCCTTCAGAGAAGTAGTGGCTTTTGAGATGGAGTCAGGCAGAGAAGGGGACAGGACATGCCAGGAAAAGGAAAGCCTGTGAAGCACCCAAGAGGTATAAAAAGGAATAATCCTTTGAGAAACAACAAAATTGAGTGGCTGGAGTCTAAAATTCATGGAGCATAGTCACAAGAGATGAAAGAGGTAAGGTAGACGGAAGGTCAGGTGTGTCAAGCCAAGAACTTTGGCCTTTATATATGCACATCAGCATTTTTTAAGCCTTAGATTTTAAAATGTTTTGGGAACTTCAGGCTTTCATTGAGATGCATGACCAGAGCTGCCTTGGATGAAGGGAAGATGGAGTGGGCCCCACACACACTTCAATAAAGGAGCTCTACTGCTGTTTGTTTTGTAGGGTTTCCTTATGATTTCCTTTAAACAAAGGGTACAGTTGCTTTAAAATAAAAAAAGGAAGAAACAAAAATTTTTTTAAATACGTAAGTAAAAAGTATGGGTGAGTGTGGGTATGTGTGGGTGTGTGGTGGGGGGAGTACACATGCTAAAATTCATACATACAAAATATTATGAAAGTGAGACCACAGGTATGGAAGATGCAAGCTTCACACTGCCTAGAGAGTGCTAAGCCAGTCACCCCGGGGAGTGGCACTCACTTTCTGGTGAGTTTCTCAAGGGTCTCCTCCTAATTGTTCCAGTGATTTCTTTATTCTCATCTCTTTCCACTTTGCTGTTTTATTTCATTATTTATTTACACAAGAAGTTCCTGTGTATTACAGAAAAATAGAAAATACAGATAAAAAGGTAAAAGAAATGTGACTATAATTCTACCATCTCACCATCCAGTAATAATCACTACAGATATTTTGATTGATTGACTCATAGAGACTCATAGAAAATTTTTTTTTACAAATATGGAAGCCAGTTTGTTGTAAGCTGAAATTTCGCACTCTTAAATTAAAAAAAAAAAAATACCTATTGTGTTTCAACCAGGAGATTCACAACAGACCTCATAAAGAAATATTTGATTGATTTGAGCTTTGACGGATGAGTAGGAGTTCACCAGGCAAAGGAGGAGGACAAGGAATTCCAGACTCAGGAAGCGCAGAACAAGGACCTGGAAAATAAAAGTGCATAGCCGATTTGGGGAATCTGGAAATGGTCAGGTGGGACTAAAATTATGGAAATGACAACTGAGGGAAAGCAGATGATGCTAGAAAGATGGAATGGGAAAGGCCTTGAACGCCATGCTAAGGAGCTTGCCTTGTTCCCTGTGGGCACAGGGAGCCAAAGAAAGTCTGTGGCCTGACTAGCGAAATGAGGCCAGCGCAGGTGGGCCATGGGGAGACTCCTGCCCCGCACCCCACCTTCGTGTGTCAGGAGGTGTCCCCAGCCTACAGGAGGGCTGCAAAGGGGGCCCTGGGTGTCCTCCATGGTGAACCCACTGTTTTCAGAAGACGAGGATGAGGCCCATTTCCAGAGACTGCCCAGCGGCAAAGTCCCCCGGGCCTTTAGCTGCTCAACCAGGACCAATTAGCAGACCCCAGAGAAGAAGCAATCAGGGGAGGGTGCTGAGCGAGGAGAAACATCAGTTTATAATTAGGTGGCCTAATCACCTGTGTAAATTGTGTATTTCTTATGATCGATGTGCTAAATGGCTCAGGTTTAATTAAGTTCTGCTGATTCATTCTCTTTGAAGACCTATTAAAGTGTGAGTCACAGCTTGCACCATTAACAACGGGGAGAGGAGCAACTTGAAAAGGGTGGCAGTTCCCTGCTGCCTCCATCCCCCTCCACTGTTGTCCCCACATGCCCACTCCCTAGGTAGGCTGGGCTTTGACCACCTGCTTCTCGGCTTCTCTGCCCAGAACCTGGTAGGGAGATGCTGGGCTGGATGGGAACCCAAGGGTTTTCTCACTCCTGATCCAGTTCTCCTTCCAGGATGATCCATGCTGCCTCAGAAGTGTCCCCTCTTAGCAGGGACCCAGAACACCCTGGTTTCTCCTGGTGATTGAGAATCCTATCCTATGCATGGGCCAGGGCCATCAATGAGCTTGTATTTTCCAGCCTCTTGTCTAATAACGAGTTTCCAAAATTCTACATGCTGAACTGCATTCTACCTTCTTCTCTGTTCCATATTATGCTTTTCTGCCTTCTCCCACCTTGTTCCCTTATTTGTAACTCTCTGTGGTCTGTAACCCAAGCATCAGCTTTCCTGGCAACCCCTCACAGCCTCCTCTTTTCCTGTAGGAAAGTTGAAGTGCTGACCTTCATCATTCCTGAGCTGCCCCCTTGGACACTGCTCTAACCTCATTTCCATGACTCCAGGCTGAATTCTATCTGTCTCTCCCAACACTGCTCTTGGCCTTCTGATTGGGTCTTTCCAGTCATAATTCCTCACCAGTATGAATTTTAGGCACCCCTCCTTATTCCAAGAGAGGCCACTAAAACTGTGAGACACAAGCACAACATCATCATCATCATCATCATCATCATCATCACCTCTCAAGGACAAACATTTATCCTGAGAATGTGTAGTTCAAAGCTAATGAGAAAACATATTTTTCTCACCAGGCTATGACTTGGCAGGCAGCCCCTCCCCCATGAAGTCAGCAGTCAGGTTGTTTTGCAGAGCAGAGTTTAGATCCTTTCCTTCTTCACCCCACCTCTAAATTACCTTCTTCCAGTACTCTTGGGAACAGGAAAAAGCCATCATGTCTTAAAAGCTGCTCCTTTGGTTACACAAGTGGAAGCTTTGAAATATTTATTTTATTATAGATTCTATTCTTAGTCATAAATCCTTGTTCACCTGAGTTTCCTTCTGGGGTAAATGGAGGAGACGGCTTATTTTCGTTATGACCCGTCTTCTGTTTCTACTCCTCTGTTCTCCATATTATTTCATTTCCTGTATTCTGGTTCCACACCCCACATTCTCTCCCACAGTTCTATAGTCCCATGAAGACCTCAACTCCCTGCTGTCCTTGACACCTCAGTTTTCCAGGTCAACCTGGAATCTTCCCTTTTGTAATTTTTTTTTTTTTTGCAGCTTCCTACAGAACTGCACTATATCATTTACTATCATCTAATATGCTGACTGACTGAATGAATGAAGGAGTAAATCCAATACTATCAAGCATGGCTTGTTCATTTTGTACTCCTGCAGACTGGCCCTCAGTGCCTATTAGGTGCTGGTTACAGAGATGACATTCACTGAGCTCTTGGAATGAATTAACACCTGCCATTTCTCTCTACATCAATTCTGACTGACTTCAGCTATATCCCTTAAACACAACACCAGCTCTAAACATAGAATAAATATCTTTTTTTAAAAACCCATGAAGTTAAAAAGGCAGTGTGGACTTAGGGAGGGAAGGGGGTAGAGAAGGAGAGGCAGAGATGAGGCTCTCCTACAGAGGTGGGTCACAGGCCAATAACTCACTCTAGTGGGGAGTAATGTTCAAAGCCTCACTGCCTGCGACTCCCAAGAAGCTTCCAAAAATCCACAATAGTGAGCGAAAGTACTTTGAAAGGATAAAAATGGATTAACAACAAAAATGAGGGCTAGTAGAAGGGAGTGAAAGCAAAAGCAAACTTGAAATCCCATTTCTACAACTGAGGCAACCGGGCCTGGTGGCTTCCCAGAGAGAAATCTCACTAGCCCTGTCCCTTTCACCAAGTAAACGCGTTCTGCAGGCAAGCCTGCGGTGAGTGCTTTTGAGCCATTCATCCTCCATCCCAGAGACGGAGGATTACAAATGTCAGGGTGGATTTTGCCTTAGTGACCTGATCATTCAATGCCTCTCTCTCCCTCCATTCTACTGATGGGGAGACTGAGGCCCAGATAATGAATCCAGAATGTGGCACAAGTTGCATAGTGGAACCAGGAACACAGCTTGGATTTTCTGATGTCCAGCTCACTGGATTTTCTACTATCCAATGACAGCAGGATCGATCATAAGCACCAAGAAAGAAAACAAGTTAGTTGATTTCTTCAAGTGTTAAACCCTCAGAAGTGAAATCTATTTTTCACTGAGTGTCTACTCCAATTCTTAGTATGTGATGGCTTTACCTCTCTTATTTGGGGTAAAAAGAAAGTGGGCTGAGTGGGAGTCAGAAGACCTCAGCTGGAGCTCAGACTCCCACCCCTCCTTTGTAGCAGCTTCAGCTCACGTCAGTCATCCTTTCTGATGTGTGACATCTGACATTGTACAAAGTTTTAGACGAATCCTGTGGAAGTCTTTTCTGTCCAACAGGATTGAGAGCAGAGCCTGAATTCTACTTTTATCCATTTAAGACATATATTTGTTAAGCTCTCTCGGGGAGCCAGTTCCTCAGCTGGTCTCAGATACAGTCAGTTACAGTCCCTACTCAGATACAGTCCCCACCCTCCAGGGGCTCACAGCCTAGAGATGGATGACAGCAGACATACGAGGCTCCCTTCCCTGGGAGGCTTAGAGTTCTCTGAGCATGAGTGTAAGTGACCCTGGGACAAGAAGTACCTCGGTTCTTAATTATTTCCCAAGAGCGGTTTTTCTTACAAGGAATGTGGAAAAAATCAGGAGAGGCAAGGTGTTAGCTAGAATGGTAGGAATTCCACTGGGCCCCAAAAGTGAAGGTGATCTGGGGAGAGGGTTTGTGCCTTTTCTACAATCCCTAAAATCACAACACAGGGACAATCTGCAGTCCAATTAAGACAAGGATTTTAATTCTGTCCTCAGAAGTCCATGGTCAGGTAAACAAACCCACTGCCACCGGGTTTGGTCCTTCCTCCAATGTCCTCTGTTACCTGGCTCCAACCAGGAGCTACAGGCAATGCTGGTTGAGTCTCCCATTCTGCCAATGGGGCAATCTTCCTTACTCTCCATTGTGTGGCCAGGTTCAAGGACCACTTTTCTGTCCTTATCATAATTGGTCTCTCTGCAGCATGGACCCAGCTGACTGTGCCTTCTTTCAGTCCTCACTTTCCTCCTCCTTCAGAGGCCTCCCCTTCTCGGTCTCTTTGTTGCCTTCCCTACTGCTGAACCTCTACATGGTGAAGGCACCGCAAACTTGCTCCTGGGTCCTGTCCTCTTCCCCACCTACACTTTCTGCCTATGTGATACCCATTCCCATGACTACAAAGGCTAAATAGATGCTGATAGGTCCTTAATTTGAACCTCAGTCCTCAGTTCCCCTTTGAGCTCCAAACTTATCAATGCATCTTCCTATTCCATAGCTTCCTTTAGCTAGCCAATAGGCATCACACATTTAACATGTCCAAGATGAACACCTGATTTCCCCATAATACAAACACATGAACACACACACACACACACATCTTTTGCTCAAGCCAAAACCAAATTGTTGTCCCTGGTTTATCTCAGCCAAAAGATAATCCATCAATCTCACCTGACAGCCTCTCTCCAAAATATATCCCATAATTAGCTCTACACCTCCCTGCAAACAACTTCAGCAGCATGACAAGAGAGATGGTAGTTGATGGAGCTCATCCTACTAATCACATCCACCACCACTGTACCACTAGAGGGGTTTGATTCTCTTTCCTAGTTGTATAAAGAAAAATGTCCAGGATGAATTCCAATAGTTCCAGTTCAGTTTCCCCACACTTGAACCAGTTCCCACTACAACTACCTGGTTGGTGTATGTGAAGAACAGTTTTCAAAAGGAGGGCAGGGCAGTTCCCAGGAAAGAGGCACTTCTGGACAGATAAATCCCAGCAGGTGTCCACCTCCCTCTGTTAGCACAGTGACCACCATGTATTCTAGGTCATGTGCAAGCCTATCTGTACCCCTTATCTCACCATATGATGAGTGCTTCCAATCAAGGACCGAGCCTTCAGCTTTTCTGCAACGCACTGCCTAGTGTTGTGCCTGGCAGAAAGGGGTTTGTGCTTAACAAAAAGGTAGATGAATGAATGATAAAGCTAGCAAGTGGAATGAAGATATTGCCAGTAAGAAAGATTACCCAGGGCTAGAAAGATTAGGAAATAATTTTTGGAGATTATAAGAATGAATGCAGATGCTGAAGAATCAGCAGATGTTAGAATTGCAGACAAGAGAGAAGAGGTGATCCCAGACCGAGGTGATTGTCTTAGAAAAAACAAAGTGATAAGCACACACGTGATGTGTTATGGATATGGTAAGCAGCCCAACTTGAATGAGCAAGGTGTGTGGGTCAACAAAGTATTGGAGGCAGGGCTGGCTTCATGGGTGTGTGTATGGCCAATGCAGATGCTCAGGACCCTGTGCTTAGAAGGAGGCCCTGAGAGTGGGATTGAATGCATATTGTCACCATCTTGAAATCTTAGTAATTGCATGTTTGAATCTCTGATTAGTGGAATCCAGTGGAACAGTGATGCATGCACCAGAGGCTATCAATGCCTTCTCATAACCTCCCAGCTTCTCTAGGATGGTCTTGGTCAACTGTTTCCCTGCTGCTACCCAGCAACTACTGCTCCCTCCATCTTGGTGGGGAAGGGAACTGGGCAGGGGTTCATGGAGGGTTGAGGTCAAGCACTGAGTTGCAGAGTGGAACCAAGTTTCTTCATGGGGTATCCATGACTCTAAGTCTCAGGGTGGGTCCCCAGGTCCCTGCGAGACCTAATCTCACCCTGTGAGTATGCTTATGCTCTTTGAGGGATGCATGACATGAAATAGCAAATAAAAACCCACTATGACAATTTAAGAGACTATGGAAAAAATAAAAAGCTATCTTTCTGCTTTTTGAGCAATAGGCCCCACATTTTCATCTTGCACTGGGCCCCACAAATGATGTAGCCAGCCCTGGGTAGAATGGAGGCTGGACAGGTGAGTTGGAGACAGGCTGTCAACAGCTTTGACTGCTATCGAGCTCAGCCTTTACTTTGCAGACCAAGACTGACACACTTTTTCTATGAAGAACCAGCTGGTAATTACTTTAGTCTTTGCAGGCCACACAGTCTCTGTTGCAATGATTCAACTCTGCTGTTAAAGTGCAAAAACTGTCAGAGACAATACGTAAACCAAAGGGAGAAGCTGTGTTCTAATAAAACTTTATTTAAAGACAGACAGTGGGCCAGATTTGGCCTGGTAGCCATAGTTTGCCATCTCCTGCTGTAGACAAAAGGAAGTCATTGAAGGCAATGTAGCAGCAGAAAGGCACAATCAGAGAAGATTTTCTAGATGGTTAACTTGGCCTCAATGTCCATGGTGGGTGAGGGTCGGTCTAGAGGCAGAGGATTTTAGGAAAGAGAATACTGTGAAGCTCCAAGCTCAAGAAGCCAGGGGCCAAGGCTCGGGAGCAGCAGTGGGGTGGAAGGGTAGGACAAGGCAACACAAAAACCCCACCTAGGTGCTGACACCAAGGCCACTGACACAACTTGGACCCTCTCCCATGCAGAAGGAAGGAAGAGCAAGCGGAGGGTTCGTACCACCTTCACCACTGAGCAGCTGCATGAGCTGGAGAAGATCTTCCACTTTACCCACTACCCAGACGTTCACATCCGCAGCCAGCTGGCAGCCAGGATCAACCTCCCAGAAGCTCGGGTGCAGGTACAGCCATCCCTACCTCAGCCCCCAGCCTCCATGCCCTTGGGACCATGTGTGAGACACAATATATCCAGGGACTTTTCGGGTTGCCCCATCTAAAAGTTTCTGTTGGCTTTATCCTGTGAGTACAGTCATTTTGGCCAAATATTATTTTCCATGAAATGAGGTCACTATAGCTCCAAAATGGTTTCTCTCCTCCGGGAATGGAAAGGGAGTAAAGTGGCATCAGTGATCACCATGGATCTGCTCCATACCCTTCCTCCCCGCTTGGCGACAGTTCCCAAACGTCGTTCACAATGCAGCCTCATTCACAAAGTATTGGCCATCTAGATCAGGGGTCAACAACCTTTCTGCAAAGAGCCAGATGGTAATGATATTAGGCTTTGCAGGGTATATCGTCAGTGTCAGAGCAACTGTTCAACCAGGCCAAGGTAGCACAAAAGCAGCCTCAGAAAATATGTAAACACACTTTATTTATGAACATGAAATTTGAATGTTGTGTAATTTGCCTGTGTCATAAAATACTACCCTTCTTTTTTTTTCTAGCCATTTAAAAATGTGAAAACGATTCTTAGTTCATGAACCATTCAAAAACAGGTGAAAGGCCAGATTTAGCCTGTAGGCCGCAGTTTGTCAACCCCTGATCTACAACACATGGGTATCCCTTTGGAGGCAGTGTAGAGAAGTGGAAAAGGTCTTGAATTCGTGGTCTTGGTCGGAGACCTGGTTTAAGCACCAACAGGCTAATCTCTCATCTGTGATCTCTTCACCGCAGTTTATTGCTTCATGCAGGATTAGAAATACAGTAGCCCATTGTCACTCACTAGAGGTATTTCCTGCCCTCTTCACATGCACCCAGCTTTGCAAGTGCCACCCTAGCACACGACGTTCCACCAGATCTCACTGTGGCACCGTTAGCATTCTCTCTAAAATAGTTCTCTAAGTTGCTCTCCTTTTTTTCTTTCCACAAATGTGATGGACTCATTCTAATTCAAAATCAGGCCAACATTCTGTTCTTTATTCTATCCTTTCCTTCTGGCTGGGGACCACTCATGTCTAAGACTTCTCTCCTTTTTCTTCCCATCTAGAATCAGGCACTAGCTAAATGGGAAGCCCCTGTATCAGCCACAAAGCCCAGAATTCAACACCTGCCTATGCAGAATTACCAAGGATAAATGGCCACAAGTCAGGGACCATCAGCACCTGCTCAGGAATGCAGGGAGCTGCCAATATTCAGCCGGCCAAGAGGCCCCAGGGGTTGAAAAGGGGTGGCCCACTGATGACCCACACATGACTTCCATTTGGTCTGCACAGTAGTTTAAAACTCAGAAGCTTTCACATATAAATCAATATTCCACTTTGGAGATTGCATGAACCTGCAACACCGGACTCACATTTCCACGTGGTGACTGTTGACGGGAGCTGAGAAGCTGCCCCATTTTGGCTCTATTCACCACAGACCCCGCCAATCCCAATTGGGCAGCACCAGCTGCTTCACTCATGCATGGCCCCCTGGCCCTGTAGGCATTGAAGGTGGAAACCCCGGTTCCCTCTCAGAAAGCTGACCTCCAGATCCAAAGACATCCTGGATGCCACAGAGCTTTACAAACTATAAAGTACAGTCCCTTGGAAGGTGTAGTTATTATGAATTTGGGGGAAGTGGTATTAGATGGAGGAAAACTCTTGCTTATCCCCGTCCTTTCTCCCTGATTACAGATCTGGTTCCAGAATCAGCGAGCCAAGTGGCGGAAGCAGGAGAAGATTGGCAACCTGGGGGCTCCACAGCAGCTGAGTGAAGCCAGTGTGGCCCTGCCCACAAATCTGGATGTGGCTGTAAGTGGCTGAGGCCTCAAGGTAGGGTGGAGGGAGCCATTGTCTGGAAATATCCCAGTCAGACCCAGATGTGAAGAAGCACCTCGGGGGCTCTGTCTACAGGAAAAAGTGCAAGGAAAATTATATTAGAAACAGCATGGGGCAAGGAGAAATCTGGAAGACTGTGGGGCCTGGGACAAGTGGCTGCCTGTCTGTCCTCATGTCTCCTCCCTTAGTGAACATCATGGTGCCTGTCCTTCCTGTGCAAAACTTCTCAGTTTACAAAACAGGATCACAGAGGGAAGTGCAGTACACAGATGTTGGACACACGGGCTCTGGAGTCAGACTGCCTGAGTTCGAATCCCAGCTCTGAATTGCCTGAGGAGTGGCTTGGAAGAGTCACCTTATCCCTCAGAGAATGTAATAAAGTTTTTTGATGAGGATGAAATAACTGAGATGTAGAGGATGCTTAGCACCTAGGAAGTGCTCCCTAAGTATTTAGGGAGCCATTCATGGAGACAGCACGTATTTTTGAGTGGGCACCAGGTGCTAAACACGGGATAGAGCAGTAAACAAAATAGACAATACTTCCCTGCCCTAGAGTTAAAGGTTTTTACATACCCACAGTGATGCCATGAGATGAGATTTCTCATTTATTCATTCTTGGCAAATGTAGAAGCTGGGCTCTGAGAGGCAAAGTGACTTTTCCATGTCAAAACAATTGTAAGTACCAGGACTCAAGCCAGGTTTTAAATCCCCAGACCATGCACTTCTCCCCACCTACAGTAACCAACCATCCAGGTTTGCATGGGTCCACACAGGACTTTCAGAGCTAAACCCAGAAGGTCCTGAGCAAACCAGAACAAGTGGATCACACTACCCACTCTTAGCTGCCCAAGCCATGGAGGGAAACGCTGAGAAGCTGCAGAGACAGCTTAGGACTCACTTCTCTCTCCTGACCTCTCCTTGTGACAGGGGCCCACGTGGACATCCACTGCTCTGCGCAGGCTGGCTCCTCCCACGAGCTGTTGTCCATCGGCTCAAGATCAGCTGGCCTCTGCCTGGTTCCCTGCCTGGATCACCCTCCTCCCAGCGCACCCATGGGAAACACAGCCTGTCCCAGGTCTTCCCATCCATCAAACTTGCATCCCTGTGCTATGCATCCTTCCACCTCCACACCCCAAATGGGGCAGCATCTGTGCTACTTCAACATAGAGATTGGACATGCTCTCCCCAAATGAGCCACTTTCCTCTCCAGGTGAAGGCAGGTAGCAGATGTGCCCTGGGCCTCTGGGGAAATCGATTTCACAATCCAAAAATGGCCCACAGCCCAGGAAGCTACCCTGAACATGCCAGTTGGAAGGCTGCACCAGACTCAAAAGCAAACTAAACAATAAAGGACAGCTCTCTTCTCTCCTGGCTAAAGCTGCTCTCCTGGTTCAGAAGACAGGCTGGATGAGATCTCAGGCCGAGCTCTGAAATAGGGAGGTAATCCTCCAGCACCTGTGTTTCCTCTAACTTGCTGTGTGACCTCCAGCCGGTCACTCACCCTCTCTGGACCTCATCTGTAAGAGGAGCCAGCTGGATAAGATGATTTCTGAAGACGCTTCCATGGTGGGCACTGAGGCACAGAGGAGGCCAAGGAGAGGTTGTTTGTTCATGCATGCATTCATCCGTGACACATGAGTACCTACTGAGGACTCCATAAACAGAACGGGATACAGAGATAAACAATTTGGGTTCTGTCCACGTTTGTCAAAAGGTGGTGCTGGCCCACCTCTGAAAGCAGAACACTTGCTCAACAACCTTGCTGTTGGCCCAAGTCTAACACATTCTTTATGACTGTGAGCATCTCAGAGTGAGAGAAAAATGTAGAAAGTTTTTTAAATTCTAAACAGGATTTAGTGTCTTTAGTTATCTTGCTGGATGGGAAAGGGATGTTGTCATTTCTGGCACAAATGAAAAGTAGGACGGAAAGCTCCTTTCATTCAGTTTATCTTTCCAGGATATATGAAAAGGGACCAGCTGGAAGACTAGCCTCACTCTGTCCTCGAAAGCCTGAGCTTTCATTCAACTCCCTATTTCCATGCAAAGACGCTGGGCAAACCACATGTTCTGTCTGAGCCTCAGTTTTCCTATCCATAAAATGAAGGTAGCCAGGCCTGCCTCAAAGAGCATTCAGGAGGCTCTGAGAGGACATGAGAGTATTTTGCAAAGTGAGGGCAAGGCCCAGTGTGGAGTGATATTGTTATTCCAAGATTCCACTGCAAAAGTGGCTGCTTTGGATGCCAGCCCAGGATGAGTAGTTCCTGTTCTCAGGGAGGTCATCCGCTGAGCATCCCTTCTGCACAGATGTCTCTGATTCTTGTCCTTGCAGGTGGAGGACAGGGCCTGCTCCCCTAAGCTGGGAAGCCTGGAATGACCTCTTGCACAAGCCTAAATTCCAGGAATCTTCCCCAAATCCCAGATCCTCTGCAATCTACCTGCACCCCTGACCCACCCAGGAGTTGGACCGGGAGTTGGGAAGCCTAGGTCTTAGTCCTACACTCCTTCTAATTTGCTGTGTAACCTTACCATTAATCTCTCTGGGTCTCAGTTTTCTCATCTGTATTGGAGGTAGCAGTGCTAGCTCTGCCTTCAGGCATGCAATATGCCAGAACTACAGACAACAGCCCACAGGATGCAAAAGTGCTTTGCCATCTTAAAAATGCCAGATCACTCAGAGCCTATGAATGTGGATATCAACACCAGGTCTCTAGCACCGCTGGATGAAAGGAGAAGGCTAGAGGCTGAGGGAGGAAAGAGCAGTTAACAAACAAAGGCAGTAGCTCATCACTTGGGTAGCAGGTACCCATTTTAGGACCCTACACTCAAATGTGCAAAATAAAATTTCTATCATTTTGCTATAACTGGATTTACTTTCTATGTTGTTTGCAGGAAATGTATTCTGGTAACTTCTAGGTTACTGATGCCTCAGGCACTTCAGGTTTAAAGGCAGTCACTTGAGATCGTTGCCCTCTGTTCCCCTTCTTCCCACAGGGGTCTTTGCTAGGCTGAGGGGCAGGGTTGGAGAAGTGTTTATGCAAATGCCACCTCCAGCCTCCCAGAGGGGATGTTTGCTTCCCAGCTTTCTCAGTCTCCTACTAGTGTCTTATCTAGCCTGGCCTTGGGCATGACCCCTCTGCCCTAGAGATGTATCACCCCATTCAACTCCCTATTGGGGGTTCACTCCACATCCTCCGCTGTAGCCTCTCACCACAGTTGTGAATCCTCGCTGGCTTCCTCTCTTTCTCATGAGCAAGAGGAAAAGCTGACAACTATCCCACACACTTCTAGGGCCATGGGAGCCCTGGGCCAGGCAGCAGGTCTCATTCATTCTAGACCTCCTACAGCCATTTCTCATGCCCTGGTGATAGGAAGGTCATGGATGAGACTTGCAGATCTCCAAACTTGTAAGAGGAATGGAAAAGATGCAGGTCCCCTCTGCTCTGGGGTCCCACTCCCCTTTCTCAGCAACATACTCCTTCCCCAGGCTCCTCTTGAAACAGGATTTTCTCAACCATAGAGATTCAGATGATCAGATGTCTCAGCTTCACTACTGAGGTAAACATTGATTTTGTGAGGCCACTTCTTTCCCCCCAGGAATTTTCTCCCCAATAACTATTTTTATTCCCTTTACCTTATGTGTGTGGGATAAAGGAATCACTTTAGAACTCTTGCCAGGTGTGTGACCTTGGGCAAGTGGCATGTCCCCTCTCTGTACCTGTTCCCTGGATAACAACAATTTCTTGCCTCTTAGAGTTTCTGTGACAATTAAATGAGTTAATACATTTTGGCACATGGTGGACACTCAAGCCATATTAAGAAAAACTCATTTTCCCAAATACACCTTCTACCTCTTTCTACTTCTGAGCTTGAGCATCCATTCTGATCTCAAGCTCTATTCCAGGAGTTCTTAAACCAGTCTCCAGGAAGTCAAGGAGCTCCCAAGAGACTATGCAAAATTGTGTGTATCTGTGTGTTTATTTTTTCTAGGGAAAGGGTTCATTGCTTTCATCAGCTTTTCAAAGAGCTCTGGGGCATAAAAAATAATAATAATAAAGAATCTCTGTCAGACATATCTGAGTCAGATCTTGACAGCTTCATATTCTAGCTGTGAGGACTACAGACTTGAGAGAAGATGAAGGATAACTATTTTAGAAAGGTAAAATAAAAAAATATTGCTATGGTTTGAATGTGTCCCCCAAAAAATGTGTGTCAGAAACCTAATCACCGTTGTAACAGTGTTAAGAGGTAGAACTTTTAAGAGGTGATTAGGCCATGAGTCTCTGTCCTTATGAATGGATTAATGTTGTTATTACCAGAATGTGTTCCTTATAAAAGGATAAGTTCAGAATCTCTCTCTCTCCACCCCCCAACCCCCGGCACCTTCTCTCCCCTTCTCTCCTCCACTCCTCCACCATTTTCCTTCCACCATGGTATGACACACCTTGACAGCAAGAAGGCCCTCACCAGATGCCAGTCCCTTGTTCTTGGACTTCCCAGCCTCCAGAACCATGAGCCAATAAATTTCTTTTCATATATTAATTACCCAAGCTGTGGTATGCTGTAATAGCAGCACAAAATGAACTAAGGAAAATAGAAAATGAACAAATGCCCAAGTTTTATTTAGCTCATTAATTAATGAGAGAACTGCTAAGATGTCATAACCAGCTCAAAGGTGAACATGCACACATATTAAAGGAACAGACAAGCATACAGGCAATCAGGAATGCTGAAATGAATTACAAATAAAGAAAAACAAGAGTCAATAGCCATAGGGAAACAATCAATTTCATCTCCACCAAGCATGACTTATTTGCATTTCTAGTGACAAGAATCACTTTCATTTCTAACCATTCTCTACTCATTGAAGTTGAAAAATAGCTCAAAGATAATAAAGATGCAGATATTCTGAAAGAATGTGCTAGACAAAATACCCTGTAATCTTTATGGGCCCTTTTCAAAATCTTTCAAAAATTTGTACCCGCATAAAGTTACTTTGTCTATCTGAATCTCACTTTCCTCATCCATTAAATGGGGATGACCACCTGCCTCAGAAGATTGCCATGAAGATTATATTAGATGATGTGCGTATAGTTTGTGCGAATAAAACACTTTGAGTGTAGGAAATCTTTATTGCTTTTCAAGCTCCTCTAGAACTCAAGTTTAAAAGCCCATATCTGTAAAGTGTTTTGAACTACAGTAATATTTCTTTAATATCCATCCACCTTTTATAGTTCAATTTCTTAAAAGGCTAACCCAGAGGCCAAGTTGGGTGGATCACGAGGTCAGGAGATCGAGACCATCCTGGCTAACATGGTGAAACCCCGTCTCTACTAAAAATACAAAAAATTAGCCGGGCGTGGTGGTGGGTGCCTGTAGTCTCAGCTACTAGGGAGGCTGAGGCAGGAGAATGGCATAAACCCAGAAGGCGGAGCTTGCAGTGAGCCAAGATCATGCCACTGCACTCCAGCCTGCGCGACAGAGCAAGACTCCATCTGAAAAAAAAAAAAAAAAAAAGGCTAACCAAGCAATAGAAAATGGGCAAAAAGCAAAAATAAGAGATTCACAGGAAAAACATAGAAATGGATACTAAACATATGAAAATATTCTCAACCTCACTCATAATTAAAAACGTAAGTAAGTTAGTAATGAAATATATTTTTAACCCTTCAGATTGGCAAATATTTAAAATGTTGGTGAAGAATTGATGAAACAGGCACTCTCATATATAAGAAAGTGTGAATTAGTAAATCATTTTTGAAGACAGTTTGGCATCAACTATTAATATTCTAAATGCAAATCTCTTGACCTAATTGTATTTGCAAGAATTTATCCAATAAATACACATGTATATAAACACTGTATATAAGAATGTTCACCAAGGCTTTATAATAGCAAAAACTAGAAACCATCTAAATAGGACACTGGTTGAGTCTATTGTAATATATTCATCTGGCTGTTAAAAATAAGAGATTGTAATGTGCCTCATGAGAAATTACCATTAGATATGTCATTAAATAGAAATATCAAGTTGCAGAACAGTATTATGATCTCACTTAAGAAAAAAATGAAAATGATATCTTCATAAAAACAACCTTTTGTATAAATGTATGAGGTACAAGTGCCATTTTGTTACATGCATAGATTGTATTGTGATCATCAAGGCTTTTAGGGTATCCATCCTTCAAGTAATGTACATTGCACCCATTAAGTAATTTTCTCATCATCTATCCCCCGCTTACCCCCTCATCCTTTCAAATCTCCATTGTCTATCATTCCACTTGCTATGTCTATGTGTACATATCTTTTAACTCCCACTTATGAGTGATAAATGCAATATTTGTCTAACTGTGCCTGACTCCACTTAGATAATGAGCTCTAGTTCCATCCATGTTCCTGCAAAAGATATAATTTTATTCTTTTTTATGCCTGAATAGTATTCCATTGTGTATGAACATTACATTTTCTTCATCCAATCCTCCAGTGACAGACGCTTAGGTTAATTCCATATCTTCGCTATAGTGAATAGCGCTGCAATACACATATGAGTGCAGGTATCTTTTTTATATACTGATTTCTTTTCCTTTGGGTAGATACCAAGTAGTGGGACTGCAGGATTAAATGGTAGCTCTATGTTGAGTTCTTTGAGAAGTCTCCATGCTGTGCTCCATGCTTGTACTAATCTACATCCTTTATAGGCCAGTGGTTTTTGCATAAGTCAGTTTCTGCTCCATATCAAACTACCCCAAAACTTAGTGGCCTGAAACAGCAATCGCTTCTTTGGTTCATAGTTCTGTGGCTTGACTAGGTTCTTCATCTGGTGTGGGCTGATTCAACTAATCTCAGCTGGTCAATCTATGGCCACTGGGTGATCTAGGATGACCTCACTCACAGGTCTGGGTTGGCAGGCTGTTAGCTGAGGTAACAGAGTGAGTGGGCCACATGGCTCTCATCAGCTTCTTCATTTAGGAGTCACTGGATTCCAACAGCGCAAAAGCAGAAGCTAGGAAAGACTCCTGAAGCTTAAGGCTCAGAATTCATACATCACTCCTGTTGCATTCTATTGGTTAAAGCAAGTCACAAACCCAGCTCAGAGTGAAGGTATGGGAAAGTAGATTCCTCCTCTTTGTGGGAAGTGCTGCCGAGTGCCATTCTGTATTAGCATGTTTTCACACTGCTATAAAGAACTACCCCAAACTGGGTAATTTATAAAGGAAAGAAGTTTAATTGATTTATAGCTCAACGTGGCTTGGGAGGCCTCAGGAAACTTACAATCATGGCAGAAGGGGAAGGGGAAGCAAGTCACCTCCTTCACGTGGCAGCAGGAAGGAGAAGTGCTGAGTGAAGGGGGAAGAGCCCCTTATAAAACCATGAGATCTCATGAGAATTCACTCACTATCATGAGAACAGCATGGCGTAAACCATTTACCTCCACCTGGTCTCTCCTTTGACACGTGGGGATTATGGGGATTATAATTCAAGATGAGATTTGGGTGGGGACACAAAGCCTAACCATATCACATGCCTTGTTTACCATCCACCATGACTATCAATGCCCATCTCATCCAGACCTCTTCCCTGAACTCTCCTGACAGCTACACTTGTATGTCTGTCTAATAGGCATTCAAGCTTAACATGTCTATGTACAAACTCTATGAACTACCCTCCCCAAACCTGCTTCTTCCTCAGCCTTCCCCCTCCCGGCAAATTGCAATGACTTTCTTCTAGCTGCTCAGGCTAAAATCCCAACAGCATCCTCAATAACTCTCTTTTCTAATCAACTAGCAAACCCGGCATTCAACCCCACCTCCCTGACACCAGACACCAGTATGTGTGCTCTAATGCCCACAGACACTCCCTAGTCTCCCTGTTCTCACCTTGCCCACTGGGCTCTATTCCTCACTTGACAGCCCAAGAAATCTTGGTAAAATGTGAGTGAGATCACACCTCTCAGAACCCTAAGTTCTTTTCTGTCTCAATAGAAATAAAGTCAAAGTCCTTCACATGGCCAGCTTGGAAGGCCCTGGGTCTCCTAACACTTCCCCAGTGCTCTCTGCCCCAGCCATGCTGGCCTCCTGCCCACCTGCTGATCCAAGGCACAAATCATCCTGCCCCGAGGCTTTTGCACTTACCATTTATTCATTCTGCCTGAAGCATCCTTCTCCAGCTATTTGAACAGCTCACTCCCTCACTTTCTCTTGTCTTCCCTCAAATACCACCCACAGATCCACCCCCACACACTATCATTCTCTAGCCCTATACCCCACTTGATTGTTTTTATAACACGTATCAACACCTGATATATTATACATTCATTTATTTACTTATTGTCTATCTCCCAACAGTAGAATGCTGGTTCATTTTGAGGAACCAAAACGGGGCCTGGCACATTGTAGGCACTCAGTATTTGTTCTATGCACATGCAGTGTGCACACACATGTGCATGTGTCTATTTAGGCATAGAAAATTTCTCTATGAATACACAAAAAAAACCATGACAACAATTACATCCAGGGAGTGAGCTGGAAGTATCAAGCGATAGAGACAGAAATGTTTATTTTCACCGATGACCCTCAGTGTTTGAATTTTTGCTGTTAAGTCTATAATTCTATAAATTAAAATGTTAATAAATAACAGAACAGTTAATGATGTTTCTCTCCTATCTTTCACATTTTACAATTTTACATTCTGCTACCAAAGAAAATGTTAGTCTGCCTCTTCTGGTGCTGGAGGGGGTCTCCCATGGGGACTGGGTGGGGGGGTCAGCCAATTAGCCATTCCAGCAAATAACAGGAGGGAGAAGTGAAGGGCTGGAAGGGGTTATCCAGAGGAGGGAGAGCAGGACTCAGGGGACAAGGAGAAGCGAATAGGGAACTCTGGGAGCCAAAGCAAAAGGAGATCAGGTCCACTCACAGAGAAAAACGGCAGGCCTAGAATTAGAGAAAAGAAGCCCTCCCACCCAAGAAACAACTCTTACACATAGGATTACATATAGGATGGTTTGTAAAGTAATCTCAGGGGCATAAAGGCAGAGGATGAGCAGAAAAAAAAAACACCTCCAGCCTGGCATGATGGCTCATGCTTGTAATCCCAGCACTTTGGGAGGCCGAGGCAGGCGGACTGCCTGAGGTCAGGAGTTCAAGACAAGCCTGGCCAACATGGTGAAACCCTGTCTCTACTAAAAATACAAATAAATACAAAATAATACAAAAAAAAAAACCCGTCTCTACTAAAAATATGGGCGTGGTGGCAGGCGCCTCTAATCCCAGCTACTCCGGAAGCTGAGGCAGGAGAATTGCTTGAACCTGGGAGGCAGAGGTTGCAGTGAGCCGAGATGGCACCATTGCACTCCAGCCTGGGCAACAGAGGGAGACTCTGTCTCAAAAATAAATAAATAAACAAACAAACAAAACACCTCCTGTGGAGATTAGGCCAGGGAGCTGGTTCACTGCTTCTCAGACAGATATACATACAGGCAATGGCAATGCCTGACCTGAGGCCTCTAATCAATATCTGAGCAAGATGTTACAGGGGAACCAAGGCAGTGGCGGGGTGGAAAGAGGATTGGGTTCTGGTGTCCTTTTTATAAGCAAGTCATCCGCAGAATTCTGCAAAACACAGGATTCACTTGACAAGGTTTTGAGCCCCTGCTCTGTGCTCAGAACTTTTATTTAAAGCTTTCTGGCACCCCATATCCTTTTTTTTTTTTTTTTTTTTTTTGAGACAGAGTCTTGCTCTGTCGCCCAAGCTGGAGTGCAATGGCACGATCTTGGCTCACTGCAACCTCCGCCTCCCAGGTTCAAGCGATTCTCCTGCCTCAGCCTCCCGAGTAGCTGGGATTACAGGCACCCACCGCCATGCCTGGCTAATTTTTGTATTTTTTAGTAGATATGGGGTTTCACCATGTTGGCCAGGCTGGTCTCAAACTCCTGACCTCAGGTGATCCACCCGCCTCGGCCTCCCAAAGTGCTGGGATTACAGGCATGAGCCACTGAGCCCGGTCCTACCTGGCCCCTCCTAATCTCCAAGTCTAGACTCCTGAAATGAAAGAGACTCTTTTATGGTTGTGACAAAAACTGGCTTAAGCTCTGACTTCAGCCAGACATTATAAGTTCAAGTAACTGAAAAGTCCAGTTAGGGCAGGGTCTGAGGCTCAGTCATGTCTCTAGGCTCAGTCCCCATCTCTCCACTCTGCTTTTCCTTCCACCAGCCAGCCGCTCAGGCTCACATCTTCCCAGCCTCATGCCAAAGGAAAGAGACTGTTTCCAAGGGTCACCACAAAGGTCCTAGATTGTGTGCCACTGGCCATCCCCGAGGTACACGTGATCCCTCAATCTATCTGTCCCTAAGGCTGGGGAGGCAGGAGGGAGCTAAGTTCTGACTAAGGCCGGGTTGCAGATCCCTCCTGGGGTACAGCAAGAGGTAGAGTCAGCTCCACCAAAACCATGATTGAGAGTGGAGAAATACAGATCCCTGGGAAAACTATGATGCTGATATCGAAGACAGGGAAATGGATGCTGGGTTGATGAACAATAGGCTTTTATTACAGAACTCAAAATGTTACCTATTTGTATGACTTAGGAGTGCTTTCAGCGGCAGGAAACAGAAGACCAACAGTGGCTTACAGAAATATAGCTTTAAATTTCTCAAATAACAAGGAACTAGAAGTTGGGTCAGCCTATCTATGATTCTCTGTCCTGTCCCTCATGGTCACATAGTAATTGCTTCATCTCCAGCCATCACATCTGCATTCAAGTTAGGAAGAAGCGAGAAAGGGAGTGTCAGCTACATCTGTCTCTTCTATCAGGAAGAACAAAGCTCTCCCAAAAATCCCCCAGTGGATTTCCACTTAGGACTCTTTATCCAGGACTTGGTCACAAAGCCACACCTAGATACAAGGGAAGCTGAGAAAGCAAGTACTTAGATTTTCCAAACCTCTATAGTAGATGCTGGCAATGGAGAAGGAGGTTGGGAATGGGTATCGGGTAAACCAAAACAACTGTGTCTGCCACACTCTCTGGGCCCTTTGATGACCTTACAGGTAGAGTGGCACAGTGGAAAAGTCACTGGACTGGGAGTCAGAATTGCTGAGTTCTAATCTGAGCCAAACCACAAGGTGTTTGACTTTGGACAGTTGCTTTACCTCCCTGGACCTTGGATATCTAATGGACTCTTGGAGAACACTAGAAACAGATATTGCGAACTATCGATATTCATTCAATTCACATCTATTAAGCACCCTGAATATCACCAGACATGCTACCAAAGGCTGCAAGAGATAGAAAAGTAAGAGAAAGGGTATCCCTTCTTGCATGGATCCTGTATGTCTTATGCTTTGAGCTGCAGATAACAAAAAATACAGCTTGAGTTGGTTTAAATAGCAAGGGAAACCATTATTTCACTGAAGTCCAGATTTAGAGTAGGCTGCGGGGTTGGTTGATTCGGAAGCTCCGCAATATCACCAGGAACTCACTCCTTAGGGTTAGGCTGCTCTACCAGCCTCACGGCTGGCCTCATCCTCAGCAGTTTTAGGCGTGTCCAGGCATGGCAATGTCCAGAGGAGGAGAGAGCAATAACTGATCTGGAAATGAAGAAACCTTCCCAAAAAGCCCCTCGGTAGACTTCCCCTCACATTATTGGTCAAAGCAGTGTCACAGCCCAATCCTGCTCAATTATTAGCAAAGAGAAGAGGATGGCATGATTAACTTACACACATTCTTACGGAGGGAATGAATGTTGGAAAATCAGCCATAATGTTCATTACATTAGCAATAATGACAATAACAGCAATAATAACAGCAAATGTTTGTTTATTGATTGATTGATTGATTTTGAGACGGTGTTTTGTTCTTGTTGCCGAGGCTGGAGTGCAATGGCATGATCTCAGCTCACTGCAACTTCCGCCTTCTGGGTTCAAGCGATTCTCCTGCCTCAGCCTCCCTAGTAGCTGGGATTACAGGCATCCGCCACCACGCCTGGCAAATTTTTGTATTTTTGGTAGAGACGGGGTTTCATCATGTTGGCCAGGCTGGTCTCAAACCCCTGACCTCAGGTGATCCATCCACCTCAGCCTCCCAAAGTGCTGGGATTACAGGCATGAGCCACCATGCCCAGCTCAGCAAATGTTTATTGAGTACTTAATGCCAGGCACTTAACATGTATTATTTTGTTTATTGCTCCCAGCAACATTTTTTTTTTGGACAGGGTCTCACTCTGTTGCCCAAGCTGGAGTGCAGTGGTGCAATCATGGCTCACTGCAGCTCTGAACTCCTGCGTTCAAGCCATCTTCCCACCTCAGCCCCCCAAGTAGCTGGGACTACAGGAATGTGCCACCACACCTGGCTAATTTCTTTTACTTTTTGTAGAGGTAGAGTCTCATTATGTTGCCCAGGGTCTAGAAACTTATCTCCATTTGAGATTCAAACTCAGATCCATGTGGCTCCAAAGCCTAGGGTCTTAGCCCTCAGGCCATACACATAGTACTTTACACCGTGCCGTGTTGAAATACACCAGGGACCTCACCATCTGGCCCCCATGAGTGACTCTCCCACCCTCTAGTCTTTGTTTCTGCTGTTCACACCAAGTCCATCTTATCTCCACCTACACAAATCAGAGCCCACCTCCAGTTCCAGCCCCATTTCCTGCTTCCCCCCTCCCAGGGCCCTAGTCAGACTTAACCTCTTCCACACGGGTCTTTAGGCACTCTTTGTTCAGACATTCATGATATAAAGTAAACTTCTGGCCTGGGATTCGCGAAGCCTGAGCTCTGGTCACATCCCCATCCTGCATGGCAGGCAGTGACCGATTTGCCACCTACTTTCAGCAACTCGGTTTCCTCATCTGTCCGATACGACTGATCAATATGACTTCTGAGGTATCTTCCAGTTCTGATATTCTGGAACTCTCTCCAGTTTGCAGAAAGCCAGATTCTGAGCCCAGACTCCTTGCCTGAGTTCCCAGGAGATGTCGAGTCACTTCCTTACTATGCCCCAGGATCCCAGTCAGAAACTGGCTCAAATAGCACTGACTCCTTTCTCCCCGAAAGGTGGAGGCCAGGACTAATGAGCATGGTTTGCCACGAGCCTCAGGGTCTGCAGAGAAAGGTTCCCAATGGAAGCTATTACTAGTCTTTCTCTGGGGCCATGGCTAACAAAATAGTCCCCTGTGGGCTGAGTCACTCAAATTAATTGTTTGGTTTCTTTTCTTATGATTGACACGTAATAATTATACGTAATAATGGGATACAATATGATGTTTTGATACATGTATACATTGTGTACTGATCAAATCAGGGTAATTAACACATCCATCACCTCAAACATCTATCTGGAGCTAAACACAAAGGAAGAGCAGAAGGGGCTGGAGTCATGGGGAAGGTCAGGGAAAACTGTGAACAATGGGCAAAACAGATGATTGGGTGTCAGGACCGGCTGCAAGCTTCACAGGGCCCAGCGCAAATGAAATCAAGAACCCCACTTTAAAAGAGGATTAAGAATTACAAGACTGCAACAGCAGAGCATTAAACTAAGTGTGTGCTCCTCTTAAGAACAGAGCCCTGGGTAACAACACAAGTCACATATTGAGGCTGGCCCTGCTGGGTGTCCTTCCCATGGAGAGCTGGGCATTCCCTAGTAGACCCCAGAGGCAAGCAGACTCTGCAGGGTCTGCACCTAGGGCTGTCTTCGCTGGACTCTTCTGCAGCTCTGTATAGATAGAAGTTAACGTGCAGAGGGCTCCCAATGATCCAGATGTTTCCCATTCATAACACTGCATGGGGTTCCTGTCCATGGTAGCCCAAATGAATTTTGTCCAATAGAGAATATAGCTCTCCCTGAAGTCCAATTTTCATTGAACCATCTGTAACATCTTACTGGCTCCCTCATTAATTAATGAGTTAAATAAAATCTCTGCCAGGTGTTCGTTTTATACTTCTAAGAGAATTACAATTTCAATATTGAAAACTATCCTTTAACAGGGGAGAGAAGTTCAGATAGTCATAACCAGGATGGCCAGATAATTTAGCATCCCAACCATGACACCCTTGAGAACGAAAAGGAAAGGCTGTTAATAGTCATAGTAGGACAACTAGGTATAAACCAGGACTGCCCAAACAAACTGGGACCTTAGTCACACTGACTACAACAGACAAATGGGTGTTGTTGAAGCATTTGACGAAGACTTTTACTGTCATGGAGAAATACTGGCTTGATGCAAGTCCAAGTGGATAAGTTAAAGAGACTAAAGGACATATACAAAAGGCACACTCCTGCCTCAGGGTCTTGGCACTGGTTGTTCCCACTGCTTAAAACACTCTTTCCCCACAATCCCACATGACCCCTCCCGCACCTTCCTTAAGCCTTTATTCCAACACCACCTTCCCAGGGAGGCCTTCCCTGACCAGAGGGCTTACTGTGAACCCTCCCACTCCCACCTCCTCGTAACCATAGCCCTTTGTCTGCTTTCTTGTCCTCCATAGTACCTGATATACCCTATGATTTACTTTTCTTTCAGTTTGCTCCTTATCTCCCCTATAGCATGCAAGCTTCAGATTCCTGACTGCTTTGTGCACTGACGGGTCCCAAGTGTCTAGAACAGTGCCTGGCACACAGTAAAGACTCAATAAATATTTGTGAAATGACTGCACTAATTACCAGATTGCTATCAGCCCTAAGAAATATTCAACACTTCCACTAACTGCTTGGATAATGATACAGACGGTATGATTAGAACACTGGAGGAGAACCAGAATTTTAGAGTAGATTCATTCATCCATACAACCAATAATATCAAGACCCTATGTGCCAGGCCTTGTTCCAAGTGCTAGGATTCAGTGGTGAACAAAACAGACCAAAGCCCTACCCTGGTAGGGATTACCCACGTGTGTGTGTCTGTGTGTGTGTGTGTGTGTGTGTGTGTGTGTGTGTGTGTATGTTCAGAAGCCTCATAAGGGGCTTACCCTCCAGCAGAGAAAGACAGAACCAAAATAAACACAATAAAGAAGTAAACTGTATAGGATACCAAAATATAATAAGCGATATAGAATAAAAGCAAAGATGTGGCAGGGCTAAGGGGAAGAGGTTAAGGGGAAGACCCCACTGCAGGTGGGCTGCAGGTTGCAGTAATGAAGAGAAGCCCCTACAAGAAGATTTGACTTGAGCAAAGGTTCAAAGGTGAATGCCCACCTTAAAGACGAATGGCCCCAGGAGACAGACTGGCCCTGTGGAGAGGGATTGGCACTCTGAGTCAGAAGTGGGTTCTCATCCCAGCTTCCATAGACAGCTCTGTTTCCATATCTGTTATTGTATAACAAACCACCCCAAAAGTAGAGCCTTGACAGCCACAACTGATCATCTTATGATTCTGTGGGTTGACCAGGCTCAGCTGATGGTTATTCTGCTCACATAGCATAGGGTGAGGTCCCTCATGCCGCTGGGGCTGGAACATGCAGGCTGAGGCCTTTCACCCTCCAGGCCTCCTAACCATGTACTCAGGTCTGATCTTTTTTACAGTGAGGTGGCTGGCTTCCCAGAGCTAGCATTCCAATGAGACAAGCCTAGTGTGCAAGTGCTTATTGAGCTTTTGCTTACGTTGCTTGCTGATGTCACAAGGCCACACCCAAGGTCCATGTGGGAGGAGACTACACAAACATGTGAAGATCTGGAAGTGTGATTCACTGGGGGGTCACCAGTCTAACAGTCTACCCCATGGTGCATGACCTTGAACCACTTAATTCAAAACAATCTCTCCGTACTTCATTTTCCTCATCTGTAAGGTGAAAGCATAAACATCAGTGCTCTCTGAGGCCCCTTCTCCTACCAGCCTTCTTACAATGGAAAAATCACAATGGAAAAAAATCTTGAAGAGCTGGCTGAAACAAGATGAAACTTCCTGTTAATAAATATAAGGACCTGCCCTTGAGACCAGAAAACCAACCAGGAAAGTTCATGAAGAAAAAGAGGTGGCTTAGTAATCATCTACAAGAAAAGGTTTAGGTAGTTTATTCCAAGGTGAGCTCAGTAGAAGTTAGCAATGTGCTACAGCCCCCTAATGAGTTAATGGGACCTTCAACTGCATAAATGGGAGCATTAGATGAAGGCTAAGGGAGGTGATACTCCTCTGTAATCCAGCCCTAACTGGAGTGATGCATTTCCTTCTTGGTGCTTCCTCTTGAGAGAAATGCAGACAAAGTGGACCATGCACAAGAGAAATGACCTGCAGAGAGATCAGGCTGGCACCATCTGAACCCACAATTAGTCTTAGTCTCACTAAGACTGGAATAGCTACATTGCACGAATCCTGACCTAAGGCAGTGGGGAGTAGACGGCACCACCTGTGAGGTGTTCTCACCTAAACAATTGAACCTGACTCCAGTTCTTCTGTAGACTTAAGTACCTATTTACAGCAAGCATAGAGGATAGAAAAAAAAAAACTAAACACCATGCAGAACTAATCAGCCATGTTCAGAATATAGGACAGTCAGCAGGACAAATGATTCCATTTCTCCAACAAATCTATGGCATGGGCCGGGCATGGTGCCTCATGCCTGTAATCCCAGCACTTTGGGAGGCTGAGGCTGGAGGATCATTTGAGGTCAGGAGTTTAAGACTAGCCTGGCCCACATGGTGAAACCCAGTCTCTACCAAAAATACAAAAATTAGCCAGGTGTGGTGGCACAGGCCTGTAATCCCAGCTACTCGGGAGGCTGAGGCAGGAGAATTGCTTGAACCTGGGAGGTGGAGGTTGCAGTGAGCCGACACTGCACCTCTGCACTCCAGCCTGGGCAACAGAAATAGACTCTGTCTCAAAAAACAAACAAACAAACAAAAACAAATCTACAGCATGGAAAAAATAGGAGAGGAACTGTTCAGAATAAAAGCTACTTCAGGTACGTAGCAAGCAAACACACTACGTAAATCTTTTCTAAACCCTGATTTTGAAAAAAAAATAAAATTAAGAAAAACCTTAGATACAATCAAGGTACTCTGAATATGGACTGAGTAACAGAGGATATCAAAATTTTCTGTTAATTGTGTTGACCGTCATAATAATGTGTTTTTTTTTTTACTTGTACAAATGTATGGGGTACATGAGAATTGTGTTACATGTATATAATGCATAGTGATCAAGTCAGGGTATTTAAGATGTCCATCCCCCAAGCACAATTCTACTATCAAACAGTGAATATATTCCTTTTATCTTACTGTATGGCTGCACCCTTTAACCAAAGGGTGTCCAATCTTTTGGCTTCTCTGGGCCACACTGGATGAAAGAATTGTCTTGGGCCACACATAAAATACACTAACACTAACAATAGCTGATGAGCTTTAAAAAAATCGCAAAAAAAATCATAATGTTTTGTTTTTTGTTTGTTTGTTTGTTTTTGACATCCTCGCTCTCTCTCCCAGGATGGATGAGTGCAGTGGCGCAATCTCAGCTCACTGCAACCTCCGCCTCCCGGGTTCAAGTGATTCTCCTGCCCCAGCCTGCTGAGTAGCTGGGATTACAGGCACACACCACCATGCCTGGCTAATTTTTGTATTTTTAGTAGAGACGGGGTTTCACCATGTTGGTCAGGCTGGTCTCGAACTCCTGACCTCGTGATCCACCTGCCTCAGCCTCCCAAAGTGCTGAGACTACAGGCAAAAATCATAATGTTTTAAGAAAGTGTACAAATTTGTGTTGGGCGGCATTCAAAGCCATCCTGGGCCGCATGTGGCCTGCGGGTCACGGATTTGACAAGCTTGCTTTAACCCATAATTTGATTTTTTAATGTTCCTCTGATGCACATGAAAATCTTATAAGAAAAAAGACATAATGTTTTGGCCCTGCTTTAAAATACTCCAAAACACACACACACACACACACACACACACGAGGGTTGGAGAGATTTTAAAAAATGACTGGCATAATGTTACTAGATGTTGCAACTTGCTGGTGGGCAAATGGGTGTTCATTAAGCTATCTTCTCTACCTTTGTATATGCTAGAAATTTTCCATAACAAAAAAGTTAATCCAGAAATCATTTATTTATTTTTTAATAAAAGAAGACTAGAACAGAAAAAAATTATCTGGAAGGCACAGGTTCTCCAAATCAGGTCTCCTCAGGGTCACATGAAGGAACCTGGGTGCTTGGGAGGCAGCTGGGGGCCTCCGAGATACACCCCAACAGTCAAATGTCTGAACAGCTTGTCTGGCATAAGAGGGGAGACTTGCTCTGCACCGCCCCACCAGGCAAAACCAGGACCAAAATGCGAAAATCTAGAAAGGCAAGTTCAAGTTTAATATGAAAACCAGAAGAGGAAGTTGCCTGAACTCCCCTTCTCCCTCCACCTCTGCAACCCCTCCTCCCCCACAGCCCTGCAGGAACCCTGCCTCCCAACCACTCTGAATCATCTGAGGCTCCAGGAACATTCCTAGCTCTCAGGCACATTCCTAGCGCACACCCTTCCCCTGCGCTGTCCTTGGTCAGAAATATCCTCTCCTCTCTTCAGCTCTTGTAACTCTACTCAAACTTCAAGGCCCTACTCAAACAGCTGCCCTCCTCCCACCCCTCACAGTCCTCACTCCCTCCTTTAAAATAAGAACACCCTTTGCATATAACACGAGTGCTTAGAATGAGCTGGGTGGCTATTACATGCATATGACTTTGCAGCTTAGAAAAAGTGTTATATTATCTTTATAGATAGATATCATAGATCAGTTATATATTATCTTTTATAGTGATTCTTCCTTTTCACTCTCACAACATTATGTACCTTTATTGAGATTATAGAGGTCCCATATACTGAGGTCCTACCACGTGCCAAATGCTTTATTCTTATACCAATCCCATGACACAGGCATCATAAGTGTCAGAGAGGGGAGGCAACTTACTCAGTGTTACACGGCAGGGGTCTCATTTGAATTCAGGCTTGTGTAATGTCAAAGCCTCTATAAATGTGCACATGATGTGTGCATGTATGTATGCTTAATCCGTGCGAGTATACACTGTGTATATACACACAGCCTCCCCTTCTGCACTGTGTTTGTTCTCTTCTCTAGCAGTGTCTAGCATATGGTAAATGCTCAATAAATGTTAGATGAATGAATAAATCCTGCATTATGACTACTTAGTTTTGTGCCTACAATAACCCCCACTACTATAAACTTGTGAACGCTGAAATAAATACATGGATTTAGGCTCCAGGATTCCAAGTGGGATAGAGAAGCAGTCCTCGAAGATGAGTGTCAAGACTCAGACAGAGAGTGGCAGGGGCCTACCAAGGTCACCAGGAGGTCGATGGAGGGCTGGAGGGAGGAGAGGGGCTGAGGGGGCCTCCATTGTGGTCACTTTCACCAGCCCGGGCTGCTCCCAGACATTCTCAGGGTTTGGGAAAAAGAAGGCCTCTCACCTCTTCCCCAGCAGCCTGGGCCCTGACCGCTGTGTGACCCCTGGGAATAGGGACCTGTACTCCCCAGGGAGGAAGGTTACAGCCAGGAGGCAATAAAGTCATTTCATGGTAATTAGAATCGTAACCAATTTAAGTCATTTACAGCTCTCAAACAATTACAGGGTGGTTCTTATCGCCCCAAAAATCCCGAGATGTTATTTGAAGGGGGCCATAAACTGGGAACCTGGTTGGGGGTGGGGAGTAGACAGGGAAGACGAGAGAAGGAAAGATGGCTGCTCATGGCAATGAGAGAAGAGGAGGCTTTTTAAAGTTCTATGGCCGGCTGCTCTCTACAGCAGATGTGGGTGGGACAGGCCCCTTGCTGTGGATTTAGTGGGAGAAACATGTCCCATCCCTAGAAGTTTCCTCTCCAGAATCACAAAATATCAGAGCTAGAAAGCCTGAAGAAACATCTAGTCCAGCATTTCCCAAATAGAAACCCTGGATATCTTGTGATTCCTGAGATGTTTGTTGGTATTTGATGAAAAGTTTCCTAGGACGAATGGGCTTGGGAAATTTGTAAAGCGTGGCTCCCTCGTACAGAATCTCGGAGCTCATTGCATGTCCAAGGTTCTGGGAAGATCTACGGGAAAGAAACCAGGTTCCGCAGGAAAGTGTAACTGTGTGGAACCCAGTGCGTCTCAGACTTTGACCACGAGGCTTTTTAACCCCCATCGAAATCTGTTAATAACGCAACAAAGCTCAGGAAATCTGCACCTGCGTCTCTCGTTTCCTTCCCACTCTGGGGCTGAAGATAGAATGAGTGGCTTTCTGTTCCATGACAACACACGCCCTTGGTTGGGGCAGGTATTTGCACCCAAAACAGTGGGCAGTCAGCCTTCTGGGGGTACTTTTGGAAGATAACGGGGGTGGTAGAAATAACATACAGAGATCCCAAATATCCTTTACCCAGTTTTCTCCAATGGTAAGATCTGGCAAAACACTATCACAACTAGGATATTGACATTGACACAGTCAAGATACATAAAATTTCCAAAAACACAAGATTCCTCATGTTGCCCTTCATAACCACATTCACACCCCTCCCACCTTCACTTTGTCTTTAATCCCTGGCAAACACTAATCCGTTCTGCATTTCTATCGTTTTATCCTTTCAATCGTTTATATAAGTGGAATCATGCAGTTTGTAACCTTTAGTGATTAGCTTTGTTTACTCAGCATAACTCTCCTGAGATCCATTCAAGTTGCTTCGTGTGCCAATGGTCCGTTGCTTTTTACCACCGAGCACTATGCCATGGCGTGGATGCACCACACAGTCTGTTTGATCATTTTTCACCCCCTGAAAAACAGCTGAGTTCCTTCCAGAGTGTGGCTATTGTGAATAATGATGCCTTAAATATTTGAATACAGGTTTTCATGCGAACACATCTTCATTTCTCTGAGATAAATTATTGGGAATGCCATGGCCATATTGCATGTTTAGTTTTTAAAGAAACTGCCAAGCTGTTTGCCAGAGTGACTGTGCCATTTTACATTCCCGCCAGCAACAATGAGTGATTAGTTTCTCTGCACCCTCATCAACATTTAGTATTAACAGTACTTTTAAGTTTAGCCTTAATGATAGATATATAGTGATATCTCATTGTGGTTTTAATTTGCATTTCTCTAGTTGCTAATGACATTGAATATCATTTCATGTGCTTATTTGCCACCCGTATATCTTCTTCAGTGAAATTTCTTCATATCTTTTCACTATGTTCTCACCGAATGGTTTGCTTTTTAGTACTGAGTTTTGAGAGTCATTTAAATAAGTACTATCATTTTACAGACATGCAGATTGGAAATATTTTCTCCTACACAGTAGCTTATCCTTTTATTCCCTTAACAGGGTTTTCATAGAGCAATAGTTATTAATTTTGATAAAGCCCAATTTATTGTTATTCTCTTATGGATCTTGCTTTGAGTGGCAAGTCTAAGATTCTTTGCCTAGCCAGAGAGCCCAAAGATTTTCTTCTATTTTCTTCCTAGAAGTTTCTTCATTTTGCATTTTAAGTCTATTATTCATTTGAAGTTAATTTTTATCTAAGGTGTGAGACATAGGTTGGGGTTTCCATTTTGCCTATGGGTGCCCAATTGTTCTAGCACCACTCATTAAAAAGGCTCTCTTTCATCAACTCGATTGCTTTTGCACCTTCATCGAAAATGGTTGAACATATTTGTGTTCAGTTATTTCTGGGTTCTACATTCTGTTCCACCTATGTGTCCATTGCTTCAGCAACACTACGTGGTCTTCATTACCATAGCTGTATAGTAAGTCTTGAAAGTGGGTAGACTGACTCCTTCCTCATTATTCTTGTTTTACAAAATGATTTTACCTTACCTTCTAGTTCCTTTGTCTTTGCACATAAATTTTAGAATAATCTTGTCTGTATGTACAAAAACAATCTTGTTGGTATTTTGATAGGAATTGTGTTAAATATGTATATGAATTTGAGAAGAACTGACAGATGTACTATGTTGAGTCTTCTGATTCGTAACACAGCATGTGTCTCCATTTATCCAGCTCTCCTTCTATTGCTTTCATCAACGTTGTGTAGTTTTTAGAATGCAAATCCTTTACAAGTTTTATTAGGTTTACACCTATGTGTTTCTCTTTTTTATTAAGAAATTCACATGATATTGCACTTTTAACATTGGTGGCCATATGTTTCTTGCTGTACATATAAATACAAGTGATTTTGGTAAGTTCTTTTTGTGTCTTGTGAACTTACTAATTCACTTGTTAATTCTAGTAGTTTTTCATAGATTCCTTGGAATTTTTTACATAGATAATCATGTAATCCAAAAATAGGGACAATTTTATTTCTTCCTTTATGATTTGCATGCCTTTTCTTTTCTTGCCTTATTGCATTAGTCAGAATTTCCAGCACAAGGTTGAATAAAAGTGGTAAGAACTGTGAGTGCAGACATTCTCACCTTATTCTTGATCTTAGGGGAAAAGCATTCATTCTTTCACCATTAAGTGTAATGTTAGCTTTAGATTTTTTTTTTGATGTTCCTTATCAAGATGAGGAAGTTCTCCCCATTTTTATTTTTCTGAGAATTTTTGCATGAATAGGTACTGAATTTTTAAAATGCTTTTTCTGAATTAAATGACATGATCACGTAATTCTTCTTTTTCAGGCTGTCAATATGGTAAATTACACTGGTTGATTTTTCGAATGTTAAACCAACTTTGCATCCCTGGAATAAACCTCATTTGATCATAGTGTATAATTATTTTTATATATTACTGCATTCTATTTGCTCATATTTTGTTAAGGACTTTTGCATCTGTATTCACAAGAAAAATTGGTTTGTAATTTACTTTTTTGTACTATCTTTTAAATCCACTCTACCAGTCTCTGTTTTTAATTGGTATGTTTTAATTAATATAATTATTAATATGTTAGGGCTTGAGTCTATCATCTAATTTTTTCTGTTTGTTCTCTGTGTTTTGGTTTCTCTGTTGCATTTTTTGTGGCATAGTTGAACATATTTTCCATTTTTAATTATCTATAGTATTTCTGAGTGTATACCTTTTTATTGGTTGCTCTAGGTATTACGTTATATATACCTATGACTTACCATAGTCCACTGGTGTCATCATTTTATCAGTTCAAGTAAAATATGGAAGCTTGCCTCCCTACATGTTCCTTTACTCTCTCCCATTTATAATATGTCTTAAATGTTTCCTCTATCTACATTTAGAACCACATCAGGCAGTGTTATAATTTTTGCTTTAGCGATCAAGCAATTTATAAAGCTCACAAGGAGAAAGGAAGTGCCTTTTCAGTCCTATCTTTTTCCTCCTTTCCTTCTGGGACTCCGATGACACACGTTTGAACTTTTGTTATAGTGTCCCAGGGCCCTGAAGCTCTGTTCATTTTTTTTCCAATCTATTTTCTCTCTGTTGTTCAGATATCTGTTATTCTATCTTCAGGTTCACTGAATCTTTGCTCTGTCTCCTCCATTCTGATGTTGAGCCTAACCACATAGGTTTTATTTTTTTCTATTATTGTATTTCCCCGTTCCAAAACTTTCATTTGGTTTTTCTTTATCTCTTCTATTTCTTTCCTGAGACTTTCTATGTTTTCATTTGTTTCAAGTGTGTTCTTTATTGCTTGTTGAAGCATTTTTATTGCAACTTCTTTAAAATATTTGAGATAATCCTGACATCTCTGTCCTCTTAGCTTTGGCACCTATTAACCATCTTTTTTCATTCACTTTGACAGCCTCTTAGTTCTTATGATGGGTGATTTTCTAGTGAAACATGAACATTTTTATATATTTTGAGATTCAATCTTATTTGAACCTTCTGTTTTTGCCATATGTCTCTAACACCATTCCACTCTGGTCGGGGAAAGAAGGGTACCAGCTCATTACTGTTAAGTAGAGGTAGAAGTCCAGATTCCCCCCACACTGACACCCAAGGTAGGGGGAAGGGCTTCTCATTACCACTGGAGGGGGTGGGGTTAGCTCTCCATCTGATCGTCATTGGCACTGCAATGAGTAGGTGGTCTCATTAACTATGGGCAATAATGAAAGTCCTGACTCTCTACAAGGCCTCCTCTGATCACTCCAATAGGGAGAGAGAGAGGACTGCTGCCTGGCAGAGTGAAGTCCAGACTCTGCCCATGGTCTTCTCTGATGCCACAAGGTAGGGGCTAGTCCCTAGCCAGTGGGGATAAAATCCTCAGATCCTTACTCACCCTTCTGAGACACCACCCCAGCAAGGGATTTGGAGAGCGTCATTATAACCTCATTAGTGTGGAAGTAGAGGCCAGTCCCCACACGGCCTCTGCTGGCCTGGGTGGGGATTGGGCTGTATTTTTTCCTACAGAGTTTGAGTGGAATAGAGCAGTTATTAATCAAAAGGTTTCTGTCTTGCTAGGATGCCACTTTTCTGGCCCTTTGGCTAAATAAAGCAGGCTTTAGGGGGACAAAATGGTCCATTTCCAGGTTGCCAGCTTCTTCAACCCCAATTTGGGAAATGTAAGGGAAAAAAAAAAAACAGGGAACTCACCATGCCATTCCTTGGATCCCAAGTTCCCTAGCTAGTCTATGTCTTCTCTCCACCTCTTAGAGTCTTCCTGTGTTTATTTCCTAACCGATGTCCATGGTTTTTAGTTGCACTTAGTGGAGAACTCTGGGAAAGTACATCTACTCTATCTTCCCAGACGGAGACGTCTAGATTATGCTTTTCACATCTTTGCACCTTTGCGTATGCTGTTCCTTCTGTCAAGAATAATCCCTCCCCTCTACCAAGAAGCTGTTGCCAGCCCCACAGACTGGTTAGGTGACCCACAGCATCCGCTGTGCCTGGACCACAGTAGTGATCAGACAGGGGTATCTTCTTTTTGCCTGTCTCACGCTCTAAACCATCAGCTTCTTGAAAGAAGGATGAAGTCCTGGTTGACTTTGCCTCCAGCTCACAGCACAGTGTCTGATGCATGGTAGACACTTGATGAATGTTTGCTGAATGAATGAATGACATTCACCGCAGGATTCCCTTCTGCCCTCGGGCAGTGCACAGCATATAAATGAGGAAAACTGCACTGTATGCCAACTCTTCCTAGACTTTCTTGGTGACCTTGGAAAAATAACCTGAACTGACATCAGTTTCTTCCATGTTGACTAATGAGCAAGAAAATGGGAAAAACGATTATTACCAAAACTAAATATTTTCAGCAATTAGTACGTGCCAGGCACTGTGCAAATTGCTTTATCTTCATTATCTTATTTAATTCTAAAAATACCCCCAATGCGATGAGTTCTGTTATCTCCATGGCACAAATAAACAGACCAAGGTTCCATGAGGTTGTATAAATTACTCATGGTTGCAGAGTCGATGTAAGGTAAATGTAGGGCAAAAGTCAAACCCAGATATCTCTGCCTCCAACACCCCATGTCAGGTGGAATTCCACAAGACATTCCTCCTGGGCCTAACTTGGATCAGTTCACAAAAATTATGGGACATCCACCATACTCTGGGAGTTGAAGATTTTTTTGAATCCCAAAATATATAAAGGTTACAATCAAAATCAGATAAAGATTTTAGAGGAACTTAAAGCATTAAAGGCGGGAATGGGAAGGAGAATAACATGTATTAGATGTTCTTGGGCAGCCAGGGACTGTGGGCACCGCCTCACATATAACATCCCCCCGAGTCCTCTCAATGGTCCTAGAGGGTTGCTACTGTCAATTGCACTCAAGGTCAAAGGACAGTAAACATTGAAGCCATGCCTAGAACCAGGACCATCTGTCTCCAAGGTTCTCACTCTTTCCAATATATACATTCCCATATAAGGCCTTAGTTCAAGAAATGAAGAAACCAATGTTGGGAGCGGGGGGCCTCATCTCACCAGTCCCTATAGGGTTTGAGCCCACTGAGTGTGATGAGTTGAATGTCCAGGCTCTGGAAGTCCTCGGCTTGTGTCCCAACTCTGCCACCACTGCCCAGCTATGCAAGCTTGAGCTATAAACCCCAATGTCTCCATCTGTAAAACGGCATTGACAAGAGTACTGTATACCTACAGCCCAAGGAATGAGATGCTTTAGGCAACTTATCATAGCACTGGTACATGGCAAACGTTCAATTGCTGGTACTGAGAATCACTGTGCTAAGCTCCAGCATGTCCAATCCTATGCCACATGCTGAGATTAGAAGATGTGGCACATGGCCTTTAGGAAATGTGGCATCTGGCTGGGGAAATGGACAATTAAATAGTTAAACCTCAAGGGAAGAGCCCAAAGATGTGGCAAAAGTAATTGCTTTGAAGAGTCTGAAAAGGTGTCATGAAAATGTGGTAGATTTCTAACCACTGAAAAAGTAAGAAGAAAGAACAACAGACAGGCCGGGTGCGGTGGCTCACACCTGTAATCCCAGCACTTTGGGAGGCCAAGGTGGGCAGATCACTTAAGGTCAGGAGTTTGAGCCCAGCCTGGCCAACATGCTGAAACCCTGTCTCTACTAAAAATACAAATAAATTAGCCAGGTGTGGTGGCACATGCCTGTAATCCCAGCTACTCAGGAGGCTGAAACAGGAGAATTGCTACTCAGGAGGCTGAGACAGGAGAATTGCTTGAACTTGGGAGGCAGAGGTTGCAGTGAGCCAAGATCACGCCACTGCACCCCAGTTCAACCTGAGTGACAGAGTGAGACTTCTTCGAAGGGAAGGGAAGGGAAGAGAAGGGGAGGGGAGGGGAGGGGAAGGGAGGGAAGGAAGAGACAGAGAGAAGTGGAGGGCTGGCTTTTCAGGACAGGAACAGCACGAACAAAAACCCCAGAGACAGGAAGAGAAGGCTGGTGGGAAGGGAGCAGTGGGCCTCAACTGGAACACAGTCAGGGAGGATGGGGGTGTAAGAGCCCAAGAAACCTGATTCTCCATCCTGGGATCCTTCCTCGAGTTTTTCATAATGATGCAATCAAGCCCAGGACAAAGTTGTTTTCTTATCCAGCTTGTGATCTCTGAAATCGCATTAATGACCCTAAAGCAAAGTTCAGTTTCTACTTTCAAATGACCCTCAGGACTGAGATGTTCATCCTTTTGGCAGCACTCATTGAGAACCTACTGTGTGCCAGGCACTGCCCTAGTGCTAAGAATTCACCAGCAAACATGACAGACACACCTGCTGTGATCTCCAAGCTTGCTTCCGCAGAGGGGAGTTGGAGAGTAAGCAACTTCTTGCAAGATTCTATTTATTCCTTAGCTGTCATTGTGCTGTGTGCACAAAGGTTAGTATGCGATGAAGTGGTTGATATGTCCTGGGGCTCAGGGAAATAGGATGGGGTGTGAAACCTCTGGCATAACCAGGGCAGAAATAACAGCCAGGAACCCACTTACAGCCCAAGTTGCCGAATGCCTGGCAGACCAACATTTTTAAGGGGCAAAGAGAGGCCTATAAGACAGTCTTCATATGTCCATGGGCCATCATATGTCATAGAAACCAGTGACAAAAGGCAGGGACTGGGATGACTGTACAGTTTACAAATTCAGGCTCCCTCGGCAATGACAGGGTGTTGGAGAGGAAAGCTCACTGCTCCAGAAGTCTCTGAGAGGGTCTGGGTTTCAGGGTGAGGTGGGCCATCACATTGAGCAAGTTCCAAGAGTTGGGATCTATCATAGACAGATGTTTCTAGAGTATGTTCTGTTGAACTTAGAACCGCCTTGCAATATCCAAATAGGGGCTCAATTTAAAAACAAAACAAAACAAATTTCTTCAGATTTTTTTTTTGCAGGACTTCTCAGAGCCTTAAAT
Organism: Homo sapiens; assembly: GCF_000001405.40. Lineage (NCBI taxonomy): Eukaryota > Metazoa > Chordata > Mammalia > Primates > Hominidae > Homo > Homo sapiens. The sequence goes on from NC_000022.11 coordinate 35,112,216, forward strand.
GTGCTGATATGCATTGTGGCTTCCTGAGATGGACCAACACTTTCCAATCTTGTTTGACCTAGAACATTTTTTTCTAGGGATTCATATTAATATTTTTCCCTATGCAGATAGAAAATCACCCCTTTAGGGTTAACCTCCCTGGCTGGACAAGCCAATGAGCCCCGACAAACAGGCCTACATTTTTTTTTTTTGAGACAGAGTCTTGCTCTGTCACCTAGTCTAGAGTGCAGTGGCAAGACCTCAGCTCACTGCAACCTCTGCCTCCCAGGTTCAAGCGATTCTCCTGCCTCAGCCTCCCAAGCAGTTCAAATTACAGTCACCTGCCACCATGCCCAGAAAATTATTGTATTTTTAGTAGAGATGGGGTTTCACCATGTTGGCCAGGCTGGTCTCAAACTCCTGACTGCAGGTGATCCACCCAACTCGGCCTCCCAAAGTGCTAGGATTATAGGCATCCACCACCACGCCTGGCTAATTTTTGTATTTTTAGTAGAGACAGGGTTTCGCCATATTGGTCAGGCTGGTCTCGAACTCCTGACCTCAGGTGATCCACCTATCTCGCCCTCCCAAAGTGCTAGGATTACAGGCATGAGCCACTGCGCCCGGCCCCTATTTTCAAACTGGAAGGTATGCTGAGTGTGAATAATACAGCTTCGCATCAGTAATGGATTTCCTCCATTCCATCCCTGGGAAGCAATCCCTGGGCCCCTGCTTGAACGCCTCCAGCCACAAGACATTCATGACTTGTTAAGGAAGCCCACTCCCACTGTTGAAGGTGAGATTCCATCTGGAGCCCTTCCTTGGGCTGAGCTGAAATTCACCTCCCTGATTCTTTCATCATCAATAACAGTAATGTTTATCCTACTATCATTTATTTAACATCTTTTATAGGCCAGGTTCTGTGCTGAGTATTTTTCATGTGTGATCTCAGTGAAACTCTTCAAGTACTCTGTGAGGTCAGAGTGTGCCTCTCCTACAGCTGAGGAACCGAAGGTTTGGAGAAGTTTCATTACTCTCCTAGCTCACCCAGCTAACAAGAAGCAGATAGATGACTCAAGTCTGACCCAAAGGCCAAGAACTTGGATGTACCTAACCACTCCACTCTCCTGCCCTTCCTCACAAAGCTCCTCCCTCTTGAGCCCTCTAGAATGAAAACACCCACATCTGTGGCCCGCCTCACACGCCAGGCTTCATTCTCATGGACTAACATATCTGAGTCTTACAGCAGTCTGTGAGGTGGGGTCGGTGATTATTCCCAGTCTGCAGGGGAGACATTGACCAATGACCTGCCCCGAATCGCACAGATCCCAGGTGGCAGATCCTTGGTGCCCAAGCCATCTGGCTCCGGAGCCCACCGTTTAGCCACTGTTATGAATGCATAATGCAGGAGGGAATCCCAGTTGTGTATTTTAGAGGAATTATTGAAAGTCCCATTGCTTCTCCATCAGGGTCGGAGCCTTCCCCCTGGTGCCACTGAGCACCAGCCATCCCTATGGTGCCGCTGAGCACACCTTGGGTGGAGACGTGCCCCCTCACTGTGTCTACAGCCTTGTCCATGTGCCCACCCATGTTCTGGCTGAAGGGACTGTGTCCCCTGTGAGCCTCATCTTTCCCAGCTCCATGGCCCCTGGTCCTTCTGTGCTTCCTCCCAAGCCAGGGTCTCTAGGCCCTCTCTATCCTTGCCTCTCTCCTGTGGGCCCATCCCAGGATTCTGTGCAAATAGTCAGGCCATTTCTATGGCCCCAGGGAGGAAAAAAGTCAGGAACCCAGGACTGAGGACAAGAACATGGACAGGAATCAAAGACGCTGTCCAGTGAGGACTTGCTAAGCCTGGACTCTTTGGGGGAATTATTTCATTTAACTCATATGGCAGCTGCTGACATCTGGAAGAAGCCCCAGGACATATCCGTTGAATGAATCAGGCAGCCCTCACTTTCCTCATTTTACAGATAGGGAAAGAGATGTCCTGAGGATCTTAGAACAGGCTCAACATCACACAGCTATGACAAATTCAGGATTCAAAGCCAGCTCCTCCTGGCTCCCTCATTTTTGCTCTTTCTTCCACCCCCATATTACAATGCTTGGTCCACATTTGGAGTCCAAAGAAATGGATCCTCACTCCAGCTGTGTCTTGGACTCCTTTGTTGACCTTGAGCCAGGCTCTCTGGAAAAGGCATCCAGAAGCTCTCCAAGGAACCTTTAGGAAGAGGAACTTCCTGGGTTTGGTGACCATGAAAGGAGGAAAGAGAGAATCCACCAGCTGGAGCTCCACGTGCACGCAGCCAGCCCTCGATGTGCAACATCTTTGACAACAGGAAGACACATGCTCTCAAGTGGCTCACTCAAGCGTCTTTAAAGAGTTCCGTAAAACTCTGCATTTCAGTGCACGACCAGTAAGTGTATAAAGCGAATGTGGTGTGCTGGGCATACAGAACAAATGGAAGAATCTCAGGCAGAGAGCCCCACGTGAGGAATCAGAGACAGGCTGGGGTCCAGATCTCTGCCCGCCTCCACCCAAGATGTGCTCAGCGGAACCACAGGGATGGCTGGTGCTCAGTGGCACCACGGGGAAGGCTCTGAGCCTGATGGAGAAGCCATGGGACTTTCAACAATTCCTCTAAAATACACAACTGGGATTCCCTCCTGTGTTATCCATTCAGCACTTACCGACAAGTACATGCCTAGGAGAGTTGCTATGAGAATTGAGGAAACACAAAGGGGATTGGAAGACGCTTCAACGGCAGAGCATTTCATGCATGGGAGGGAGAGCTGTGGGGGCCCGCGGAACATTCCCACCACCATTGCCTCTCCTCTCTGGTGTGACCCTGGGAGAGGACAGTACAAATTAGCCAGGCTGTAACCTGATGCTAGAAGCTATCTAGGTGTTCTGTGGCTTCAGGTCACTGTCTGCCACACAATGAGGCAGTGAGCAGGCAGCTGCCCCTCGGCTTCTAGAAAAGGAAGGTGGTGGCTGGGCGTGGTGGCTCACGCCTGTTAGCCAGCACTTTGGGAGGCCGAGGAGGGCGGATCACGAGGTCAGGAGATCGAGACCATCCTGGCTAACACGGTGATACCCCGTCTCTATTAAACAAAATACAAAAAATTAGCCAGGCGAGGTGGCAGGCGCCTGTAGTCCCAGTTACTTGGGAGGCTGAGGCAGGAGAATGGCATGAACCTGGGAGGCGGAGCTTGCAGTGAGCCCAGATGGCACTGCACTCCAGCCTGGGCGACAGAGCAAGACTCCGTCTCAAAAAAAGAAAAAAGAAAAGGAAGGTGGACAGTGGATTCGAGCATAGATCCCAGCCCCAGATCCCACAGCTGCTAGGGAAGTGCACAAATGTTTTCTATGAAGGGCCAGATAGTAAATACTTTAAGCTTTACGGGTCTTAGGATCCCTGTTGCAATTACTTAACTCTGCAGCTGTAGCTCAAAAGTAGCCAGAGACAACACATCAGAGAATGGCCATGGCTGTGTTCTAATAAAACTTTATTCACAAAATCAGTCAGTGGGTTGGATTTGTCCCGCAGGCCATCATTGGCCCTCAATAATCCCAAAATATTGCTGGCCTCCGATGGTGTTAAAGAGGATTTGAATACAAAGTTGCTGTGACTGGCCATTTTTCTCACCACCCCACAAAATCTGCCTTGCCATTGACACTCAATTCTATCCTTGAAAGCCTGAGAAATCCCAGTTAGAAGATGCAACAGCCCCTTCCTTCTTCAGACCAAGCTCCCAGCTGGGTGACGTTGGGAAAGTCCTCCCACCTCTCTAGGCCTCATTCTCCCCTCAGTAAATGCACTTATTGAAGGCCTCCCCTAGGACCAGGCGCAGTGACCAGGTACAGCAGGGTGTCCAGGGAACAGCCCCAGAACATTGGCAACAAAATCTGCCTTCCATGGAGGTAGAAATTGGGACTCAGAGAGGTTAAGCAACTTGCCTGAGATCACAGAGCTAAGAAGTGTTCATACAGGAACTAGAACCTAATGCTTTGGGCTCCAGAGGCCAGAGCTCCCACCTCTGCCCCTCTCAGGCTAGGATGACTCCGAAGCCCCATCGGGTCCATGTCTCTGAGTGCTGGGAAGGTGCAAAGTCCAGCAGGAGAGAGCATGAGGATGACAGAGGAAGACCAGGGAGCCGCCTCTGTTATCCACCAACTGTGTGCCAGGATATAAGCTCAGTTATGGGAGGTGTTATCCTCCCCCAGGAACAGGTGTGGAAACAGGCTCAGAGAGGTAGAGGGCCTTGCCCAAGGCCACAGAGCCAGTGGTGAGTCAGGACATGAACCCAGGCCGAGGAACCCCACATGGCCAAGCTTAGCTGACTTCCCTGGCCACACTCCGCCCCTCCGTTTATGTTCCCAGAATGAGACAGGAGCCCGGGAAAACCTCCTCCCCAGGTGGCATAGAAGTGAGAGCCCAAAAAGGCGCACCCTACCCCCAGTGCCCTCACTTGGGGACACCACTCAAGCCTACAGGTGTCCATCAGTCCAAGCTGAGAACCATCAACAATGGCCCCCTTCACTCAGACCCTGAGAAGCCCCAGGACTGGGGTGCAGCCGGGTTCAGCACCAGGAGGATTATCAGCCACCCAGGAAATGCCTGGAGGTCTTGAACTTCTGAACTCCTCGCTCACCTCCACCTGAACCCAGCAAAATGGCCTCTTTCCTGTTATTACTTTATAGCCTTGACTGTAAATTCTTCCCTGATCCCACTTTATGGCTGCAGGATAAAAACATGTGCCCCAGGCATAGCTTTCGAGGAGAGCGCCTGGTTTATAAAGTGGTGCTGTCATAGCACAGAGAAGGGGTGCAGCTCAGCCGGCCAAGGGAGTGCAGCCCGGGGCTCACTGCTGGCGCACGGGAAGGGCAGGCTGACCAGACCCTGCCAGGGCACCAAGCCAGGCACACTGCAGGGCCCTGGAAGCCAGGCAGCAGTTCCCACCCTTACCAGGGATGGCAGCGTGACTTTCTTCACTGCATCTTCGGGGTAACCCTGAGAAACAGGCCAGGTTTTATGGCTACCTTCATATTACAAGTGAGGAGGCTGACGCTGGGAGAGGTGGCGTGTACAGGGCCACACAGCCAGGACGAGAACTCAGACCCAGAGCTCCTTCACCACCTGCTCTCTCAGAATAAACCCTCAATTGTCTACAAGACAGCTCATCTCAACAGAATTGCTTCAGCCTCATTGAATCCTCAGCCGTCCTGGGAGCATGAGTATTACCCTCCCCTCTTACTACACAGGTGTTTCTGAAGCATCCTCTGCCTGCCCTCAGCACCCCACTCCTGGCGCTGCTGCCCTCATACCTGTGGACTGACAAGGAGGAGAAGCGGGGCCCCTGCAACGCTGTCCTTTCTTCTTCCCTCTCTCTTAGGAGCCAGATGCTTAGATAGAGGACCTGAACCCTTAGCCCTCTATAGGGATCCCTGTCCATAGATTGATTCAGGGAAGGGCGGGGGGCTGTGCCCACCCAGCTGGTACCCCGGGTGGGCTGTCAGACCCTGATCTCCAGATTTAAGCTCCATTCTCCATGCCAGTACCCCGGGTGGGCTGTCAGACCCTGGCCTCCAGATTTAAGCCCCATTCGCCATGCCAGGCACTATCGATAATGAAGGTGCTATTTGGGCTGCCTTTCTCCATCATCTTACTTCCAGATGCAGGCCAAAGCTGAAAGGTGGCAAGTGCTAGTGTGTCTGGGAGATGGTCAGATCCAATGGAAGCGAAGCCCTCTCTCTCACCACAATGACAGTCCCTCTCAGTACTCCTTCTGCTGTAACTTCCACAATTCCTTGGTCCTGCGGTGTTTGGAGGCCCCGACTTGTGATATAATCAAGGCTGGCCAGAAGAAAGTGGCCCACGGGAGGACAAGGCCATAAGAGCGGGGACCAGGGAGAAACCAGAGCTGCCCAGGAAAGGGACGGCAAGGCTCACATTCAAGGCCGTGGCTGCAGAGCTAAGTGGTACGAGAAAAAGCCCCACACCAGAGCCAGGAGATCCGCTTCTAGGCCCCACCCATGCTCCACACGCCCTTCAAATGCCACCTCAGCTTCCTGGGCCTCAGGTTCCTGACTCACCTGTGAAATGGGCAAAGCCAGGGCATGGAACCAGAAGATCTCAGGAGATTGTTCTAGAACGAGGATTCTGCACCTTTTCCTTCAGCTGTGACTCTCAGCCCAGGCCACACACTAGAACCTCATGGGGAAGCTTTTACAAACATCAATGCCCAGGTCTTCTGACTACTGTGCTATAAAGATACGCAACCTCAAACTGGGATACGTTGACTTTAAAGCCAAGAACAGAAGCTGGAAGGACCGTGAAGAGGTGATACTAGGAGATGTCCAAGCGTAAGAAACAAAGATGAAATAAATATCAGCGTAGTAGGTGAGAGTTGGGTTTTGGAGTCAGACTTGAGTACCACGTCTTGCTTCCTTACTCACCAAGAAACGCCACTCAGGAAAGCTATGCCTTCATTACCAGTAGCACCTGGCATGGAGAATGAGGCTTAAATCTGGAGGCCAGGGTCTGACAGCCCACCCGGGGTACTGGCTGGGTGGGCACGGCCCCTTGTCCTTCCCTGAATCCATCCATGGACAGGGATCCCTATGGAGGGCCAAGAGTCTTCAGTGTCAGATGGCCTGAGCTCAATAGTGAATCTGCCCCATGAGTTGGCCTGGGTACTTGATTCGCTTTTTAGTCCTGCCTGCTTTGCAGCATTGAGAAAAGGGACATGAAAGCACTTTGTAGACATGGAATACTTTGCTGCGCACCTCCTGGTTTTGAATGTTTTATCTATAAAATGGGCACGATAACACCTTTTGCCTATGACTGTCCTAGGGATTACATAAAAGGGCCGTGTGCATGGCATACAGCACCCATTCAGAAATATGAGCTTTATCATTAATAATGCACTGTGCATGCCCCATTTCCAGGGCAGGTGGGCACGCATCACTGTTAAGCAGGTGGGCTCTGGAGCTGTCATACCGGAATCAAGCTCTGCTTCACTCACCTGCTAGCTGTGTATCCTTGGGTCAGCCAGCTCTCTCCTCTGCACTATGGCGAAGTTGATGATAATGTTAGCTTTGTGGCAGAGTTAAATTAAGGAGTAAGTAAAAATATCTAACACAATATGAAGCTATTGTAGGTTTTCAGTACGTGCTTCCTTTCCGTCTCCTTTTTCTCCAGCAGTGGTCCCAGGATGCCAGCTATGTTGGTGACAAGGATCCTCCAGTCCAGGAAGCACCTGGGGTTCCCCCTAGCCCTGGCCTTCAGTGTCAGGTAGCCTAAGCTCAGCAGTGAATCTGTCCCATGCCTGGGCCTGGACACTTGACTTATTTTCCAGTCCTGCTTGCTGAGGAGCATTGAGAAAAGGGATACAAAAACACTTTGTAGACATGGAATACTTTGCAGAGGCACAGACCAAGGCTGGAAAGAGACCAGAGTGGCTGGAGAATCTAATCTGGCTCTGATCCCCACCACCAGTGTGCTGAGCAAAGGTCACAAACTCTCAGCACCAGGTTTGACATCAGAAACTTCCTCTTCAAGGTAGAGCCTGGAGAGCCCCTCTTTCCATCAGTCTCAGAATCCAGGAGGAGAAAGAGAAGTGATCTTGGAGTCAGACAGCCCTGGGCTTATGTGTCCTGGTCCCACCACTGATAAGGGATGTCCTTCTTGTGGGCCTCATTTTCCCCACCTGTAAAAAAAGAACACGTCCCTAGCCCCAGACGTTCATTTTAAGGATCAACTGAGAGCAAGTCTGTGCAAAACCTTCCAGAAATCCTGAGAAAAAGCTCGTTCTTACCAGCTATGGGACCTTAGGAAAATGACTTCATCTCCCACGACCTCAGTTTCTCAATCTGTAAGACAGGGATAATGGTATTCACCTCATAGGGCTGTTATTCAAATTAAATATGATAACGGGAGTCAACACCTAGGTCACTGGCACATGGTAAGTGCTCAATTCACAGCAGCCAGCGTTACTGTCACTGTGGCACCTTCTTCCATCCCACGGCACCTTCTTCCCCCGGACCCAGCCCCTGGAGGGCAAGCATGGCTGTCTCCTCTCTGCAGTTGAAAAAACCTTTTGGTCCAGAAGATCCAAGGCCTTCTGGGGGCTCCAGCCTCCCAGAAGCCCCCCACAGGCATCACCCCTTGCACCTGGGAATGAAGCCATTCTCAGGTCGCAGGCTCACTCGTTGTTCAGCCTGACTGGACATAAGAAGCTCTACGTGGAGTTATTTTAATCTTTCCTCACAAATCAATAACTGCTTACCTTGAAGCAGTTTTAATTAGTTAAGGCCTGCTGAGTGCTCTGCTGATAAACTAGCCTGCTATTAATGCTAAGTATCTGCTGTGTAGTTGCTATTTTTATTATTGTTGTTCTTATGAAATCCTCATTTCCTGAGCCACACAGCTGGGACTATTATTTAAAAATCACCTTAGGCTTGAGCCTCCTTCCCTGAAACCTGGGGAAAGGGCCCTTTCCTCACAGCTCAGCTCACCCCTTCCCACGCCTACCACGTGCAATACCCTTAACACACCATTATATTAATAGAAAGATGCTTCCTTCAACAACAGAAAACAACCTCCACAACTTTTGATATCTGACTTCTGTAGCAACAGAGCCCCCTAAGCTCTATGAGCCCCAAGGTGAGGATCACCTCACTCGCTTAAATCAGCTACCAGTGAGGAGAGCAGAAGGAGGGAACATTTATTAAGAGCTTACTGTGTACCAGCAATGGTGCAATGTGCTCACTACTGGGACCTCATCTAGTCTTCGGAGAATCCAGAGGTGCTAACACAAGCCCTGTTTTGTCAGTGAAGTAACTGGGGCTCAGAGAGGTTAGTGCATTTGCTCAAGGTCATAGCATCAGCAAGTAGGGAAATGTGGAGCTAAACTTTTCTCTGTCATTCTGGTTCCCACTGGGGTAGGCCCCTGGGGGACCTCTCCTGGCCTTGGCTGATTTCTCCCACTCTTTTTTTATTATTATTTTTGAGACAGGGTCTCACTCTTGTCACCCACGCTGGAGTGCAGTGGCGCAATCTCAGCTCACTACAACCTCTGCCTCCCAGGTTCAAGTGATTCTCCCATCTCAGACTCCTGAGTAGCTGGGACTACAGGTGCACCCCACCACGCCCAGCTAATTTTAGCATTTTGGGGTAGAGATGGGGTTTCACCATGTTGGTCAGGCTGGTCTCAAACTCCTGACCTCAAGTGATCTGCCTGCCTCGGCCTCCCAAAGTGTTGGGATTACAGGCACAAGCCACCAGCGCCTGGCCCTCTCCCACTCTTTATACCTCTTTGTCGTAGGCTCTAGGACCCCAGCCTGCCTATTTGTGTTGCTCTCTTTCACACTGCCTCCTCCTACTCCATCTCTTGGTTTTATGGCTGGTGGGGGAGGATTGGGGCATGGGGCATGGTCTCTCTAGGTCAAAGACCAGCTTCATAAACCTTTGTAATCATTGTTCTGGTAAAGAGACAGAGGAGACAAATAAAAACAACAACAAAAATCCATCTTGGAAGGAGAACCAATATCTGGGCAATGTGACGAAGTGGTTTCGAACCTGGGCAGGGGGAGAAGCCAGGGTTCAAATCCCACATGTGCCTCTTTTTTTTTTTTTTGAGATGGAGTCTCGCTCTGTCTCCCAGGCTGGAGTGCAGTGGCGCCATCTTGGCTCACTGCAAGCTCTGCCTCCCGGGTTCACACCATTCTCCTGTCTCAGCCTCGCGAATAGCTGGGACTACAGGCACCCGCCACGACACCTGGCTAATTTTTTGTATTTTCAGTAGAGACAGGGTTTCACCATGTTAGCCAGTATAGTCTCGATCTCCTGACCCCGTGATCCACCTGCCTCGGCCTCCCAAAGTGCATGTGCCTCTTATTAGCTGTGTGACCTTGGAAAACTTGCTAAAGCTCCCATTTTCTCATCTGAAAATGGCCTTTCTGGTAGCATCTGCCTCCCAGGGCTATTATAAGGATTAAGTGAGAGAAGCTATGTTAAGGGTTTGATGTGCTACCCAATGCAAAGTAGTACTTTTTTTTTTTTTTTTTTTGAGATTGAGTCTCACTCTGTCGCCCAGGCTGGAGTGCAGTGTCGCGATCTCAGCTCACTGCAACCTCTGCCTCCCGGGTTCAAGCAATTCTCCTGCCTCAGCCTCCTGAGTAGCTGGGACTACAGGCGCATGCCATCACACTCGGCTAATTGTTTGTATTTTTAGTAGTGACAAGGTTTCACTGTGTTAGCCATGATGGTCTCGATTTCCTGACCTCATGATCCTCCTGCCTCAGCCTCCCAAAGTGCTGGGATTACAAGCATGGGCCACCGTGCCTGGCTGCAAAGTAGTTCTTTTTATTGTTAGTAGTAATTATTGCTAACATATAACAAGTGGTTACCATGTGTCAGATGCTGTTCTGAGTAACTGTCTTGTTTCATTTTATTTATTTACAGCAACACTCTGTGGCATTCCCATTTTACATTTGGGAATCTTTGTATCATCCCCATTTCACAGATGGTAAAACCTAAGGCTGAAAGATGTGAGTAACTTGCCTGAAGTCATGCATTTTTTAACTAAACTTCTTATTTTGAGATAATCGGAGCTTTATAAGCAGCTGCAAGAAATAACAGAGAAATCCCCCAGTGGTAACATCTTGCAGAACTACCACAACCAGGATATTGACTGATACAATCAACATACAGAACATTTCATTCACCACAAAGATCCCTCTTGTTGCATATTGCCCTTTTATATCAATCCACTTCCCTCTAATCCCTACTGCACCTGAAACACTGTTTAGAGAATTTCTTCTGCCCATTCCTTTTTTTTTTTTTTTTTTTTTTTTGAGACAGAGCCTTGCTCTGTCACCCAGGCTGGAGTGCAGTGGTGCAATCTCCGCTCACTGCAACCTCTACCTCCCGGGTTCAAGCGATTCTCCTGCCCCAGCCTCCCGAGTAGCTGAGATTACAGCTGCCTGCCACCATGCATGGATAATTTTTGTATTTTTAGTAGAGATGGGGTTTCACCATATTGACCAGGCTGGTCTGGAACTCCTGACCTCAGGTGATCCACCCACCTCGGCCTCCCAAAGTGCTGGGATTACAGGTGTGAGCTGCCGCGCCCGGCCCTTCCGTCCATTCTTTTAGGACAGGTCCATTAGCGGCGGCAAATTCTTATTTTCCTTTATCTGAGAATGGCTTGATTTCCCCTTCATTCCTGAAGGATATTTTCACTGGGTATAGGAATCTGGATTGACATTTCCTAGAAACTCATCACCCGATTTTTCCTCAGATCCCAAAGTCCCTAGCCAGCCTGCCGCCTTCTCCACCTTTTAGAGTCTTATGTTTATTTTGTATTTCATGTCCAGGGTTGTTAGTGGCACACAGCAAGAGAAGTAAGGAAAAGTATGTCTGTCCTATCTTCCCAGAAGCAGACATTGCCCACACACATTTTAATAAGTGATTGAGTCTGGATTCAACCCTGAGCAGTCTCAGAGCCCATGATCATAACCACTAGGCTATACTTCCCCAGGCCACCTGAGTTTATTCAAGTGTGCTCCTCTGGAGACATAGGCCAAAATCTCTTCTCAAGAATATCAGTGGAAAGTCCTGTTGGTTCAGCACAGAGATCTTTGTAGAATGTGGACAGACACCCCTCAGACGTCCCACACTCACATTGCACTAGCATGTGAGCTAAGCCGTTTAAATATACATGTGAGACCCTCTTACAAAAGGCCAGGGACTTACTCTTTTCTTTCCTTCATCCATTATTTATTGAAGGCATGTAACCAGGGATACAAAATCGTAACTGCCTTTTAAATTGTTCTCTTATTTTGTACCAGAAACTTTGCAAAACACTTCACATACTGGCCACTCCTTGGACATCACATCAAATCTTATCAGCTTCATCTCTTATTCCAGCCACTGCTGTGAAGAGCAGAACTGTGCAGGTTTAGACCAATTTCATGAGTGTTAAACCTGACTGTGCCTTATCTCAGGCCCCTACTATGCATTTCTCACCTCCTGACCCCAGGTACCTGGGAAAAATCCACTCAACACTCACTAACATGCAAACTGGAAGTGCAGGGCAGCTGACCCTCTTCAGACAATTCTTGACCAGCAGGGGACAGACACCCTCTTTCTTTCCTCCAGTAGGTGGTTCTGAAACCTAACCCAGAAGGCTTTTAGAAGGAACTCTGGGCTGGGCGCGGTGGCTCACACCTGTAATCCCACCACTTTGGGAGGGCGAGGTGGACGGATCACCTGAGGTCAGGAGTTTGAGACCAGCCTGACCAACACAGTGAAACCCTGTCTCTACTTAAAATACAAAAATTAGCTGAGTGTGGTGGCATGTACCTGTAGTTCCAGCTACTTGGGAGGCTGAGGCAGGAGAATCGCTTGAACCTGGGAAGTGGAGGTTGCAGTGAGCCGAGATCTTGCCACCGCACTCCAGCCTAGGTGACAGAGTGAGACTCCGTCTCAAAAAAAAAAAAAAGGAACTCTGAAATTGAATAAGTAGTCCTCTTTAGAGGTGGCCAAACTCATCAAAAGGATAGCAGGTCTTTGTACTGGATTTACTTCTTTCCTGTTTTTATTCCCTGCTATCCTCGCTCCTCCTTCCTGGGATCACATTTCCAAATAAACTATCTTCACATAAACCTTTGGGGAAACCCAGGCAAAGACATTGAGTACTGGGAGTGGCCCTGGAAAGCAATCCAGAAAGTTAACATTCTGCAGCTATTAATAACCCCTGAAATTCTGTAGCATCACAACCACTCAGGCCTCCATCTGTGGTTGAACAGAATAAGGTACAGCTGGATAGTGAAATTCTGAATTGTGTAATGACTGTGGCACTTGACCAGCCTAAGGGTAAGAGTAATTATGAAGACTGTGCAGTGAGCCAGCTTTTCTTAACTGCTTGAGAAACGTTAAAAACGACAAATGACAGGCTCAGATAAGCCAACCTGTCAATTCAAGGCAGAGTTGTGCTCCATCTATAGCACTATTTAAGGATACTCTCATCTCCTGAAGCTACCTGGCAAAACGTGCTGAGAATCCGGCCTGGATCTGACTATAAGAGTGGAAGAATTACAGAGGAACCTAAATGCACAGCCACAAGACTCCTGTGATCATCAGAGGTCTCAGAGGAAATGAATGGGACCCTAAAATTCAGAACGAGGACAGTTAGGTAAACTAGCCTGAGAATGTTGGACCCCACATGCTGTGAACATATCAGGCCGATAGAAACATCCTCTTCCAGCTGGGCATGGTAGTTCATGCCTGTAATCCCAGCACTTTGGGAGGCCGAGGCGGGTGGATCACCTGAGGTCAGGAGTTCAAGACCAGCCTGGCCAACATGGTGAAACCCCGTCTCTACTAAAAATACAAAAATTAGCTAAGAGTGGTGGCACGTGCCTGTAATCCCAGCTACTCAGGAGGCTGAGGCAGGAGAACCACTTGAACTCGGGAGGCAGAGGTTGCAGTGAGCCGAGATTGCACCATTGCACTCCAGCCTGGGCGACAGAGCAAGACTCTGTCTCAAACAAAAAAAAAAAGAAAAAAGAAAAAGAAAAGAAAAGAAAAAAGAAAGAAACATCCTCCTCCCCTCTACAGAGCAGTGCTATGTTTCCTTGCTTAGAGAGCCTGCAGAGAGTGAGGCTGGTATCTCACAAATTCATGCTTGTCCTCCTCAAGATCTACCCCTACAGTCCCTCATTACTTTCAGGATGATAAACAGAATAAAGTCTAGGTACAACGCAAGCAGTAACACACAAATGCAGCTCTGGGTTGGGGTAGTTTTCACACTGAAGGAGTTGCAAGACCCAGCCAAAAAGACTCTCACGGGTTAGGGTAGAAGTATTGACACAAGGACACTCAATTGTGACCTGTTTTAACAAGGATACTGGGGGCCATCCTAACACTCTGTTGGGACAGCTCCTTGTAGCTGGAGCACGGTGATTTATTTGTTGAAGTTTTTTTGTTTGTTATGTTTTGTTTTGTTTTTGAGATAGAGTCTCACTCTGTCACCCAGGCTGGAGTGCAGTGTTGTGATCTCGGCTCACCGCAACCTCCGCCTCTCAGGCTCAAGCAATTCTGCCTCAGCCTCCCGAGTAGCTGGGATTACAGGTGCACACCACTACCGCCCAGCTAATTTTTGTACTTTTAGTAGAGTCGGGGTTTCATCATGTTGGCCAGGTGGTCTTGAACTCCTGACCTCAAATGATCCACCTGCTTCAGCCTCCCAAAGTATAATTAGATGAAGTGAAGATGCTAGAACTGCTCTGGCACAATATTGAGAAAGGGACCAGAAGGCTTAGGGAGGCAGGGCAGCTAGCTATATTTATTATGTGAGATGGGCAAACCCACCCTCCACAGAGGCAATAAGCCACATGCTGTTGGGAGGGAGGCAGGCCAGGGTGTAGGGAAAGCAAACCAGCATCTCTGAGAAGCCTGGGGCAGCCACCTCTGCAGGCGTCAGTTCCAAAATGTCATCTGGAGGATTGCTTTCAAGGGACACTTTCAGTTCCCGATGTTTATCCTGGATTCCCCCAAAAGTTTATGTGGATAGTTTATTTGGGAATGTGATCCCAGAATGAAGGCGTGAGGATCGGGGGAATAAAAACAGGAAAGAAGGGGAGCTAATACCATGACCTCTTATCCTTTTGATAAGAGTGGTAGATGTTGCCAGGGAACTGGTATGTCCAGTGTTGGTGGACATGGTGAATTCCAGTCAAATGGCAGCTGTTCATCTTCAGTGGCCAAGTGGATGAATTTACTGAGATAGCAAGGTTGAGTGGCAACGAGGGGGTTCCCTCATTATCCTTTGACCCAGGCTCTCCTTTGGGGGAAACCCAGATTTATCTGGCTGGGAACATTATCTAATTTTAGTATCACTGAATCCCACTAAGCTGAGATAGCCCCTGTCCTTTTTACAGGTGAGGAAACCGAAACTCTGAGAGGTCGCCTAAGTGGGGGGGATGAAAACCAGCGCTCTGACCACATCCTGGCCTTCGTCACCATGGGATTCCGAGGGACAAGCCCAGGGGAGTTGCAGCATCCTCTGTCTACCCTATGTACGTGACCCCCCTTTGCGGTTTTTAAACCCCACTGCTTGCTGACAGATTTGTCACCTGTTATAAGGGCAGAATCCATTATTATTATCAATAGTAGTGATGGATACTTAAATAATAAATGCACTAATCTCATTAAGCCACTTATTTAATTAATCTATTTTAATTCATGTAATTAGTTAATATGATAATGCTTCCTTTCATCCAAAGACAGCCTGCAGGCTCTCCAAGCATGGTGTATTATGATTAATGGATTTTCACATGTTGAGAAGGAAGGAGTTTGGGGAAATGCTCAAAGTCAGAGTTGCCTGGTGGGGGTCGCTTAGCCCATGGAGAAGCCCACTGCTCTCTATCTGATGACTGCTCTCCCGCCCACAGGCACTAAGCTCTCACTAGCTTTCTTGACTTTGCACTTACCTGGAAAGTCCTCTCCTTTTCTCCCTGTGTAGCAATACCACCCATCCTTCAAGACTCAGCTTAGGAGTCACCTCCAGCAGGAAGCCACCTGACCTTTCCCAGCTGGATTAGACAGCTCTCCTGAGATACTCTGTGTAGCACATGTCAGAACTATGGAATGTCCCCTGCTTAAAAACAAATGCTTTGAGAGAAAGGGCTGGGCTGTGACTACAGCATCAGCAACCACAAACACAGCAACCACCATCATTCATTGAGCATCTATTCTGCACCAAGCATCTTCCCAAGCACATTGCAAAGATAGTCTCTTTCCGTCTTCACCCAACATCAAACTGGGAATTGTTTCCTCATTTCTTTTGGAATAAGGAAACAGAAACTTCAAGCAGTTAGATAACTTGCCCAGAGCCACCCACCAGAACCAGGATTCAAACTCAGGTTCAGATGGTCCCAAAGCCTGAATCCTTAACTACCATGCCAGACGTCTTACTTGTCTTTGCAGCCTCCACCCCTAGCACAGGGCCTTACTCAATACTTGTATAATGAATGAATGCCCCAAATGCTTTCTTAACAAATTTGGATCTCATAGTGAGAGAAACAAGAAGACCTTGTGGCTGAAAGGGGAGTGATCATCAGCTTAGAGGAATTCCGTTATTATGTTGATCTTTCATGGTAATGTTTAAGGACATTAAAATTTTCAATACCGTTGATGGAATTACATTTTACTCTAAGGTCTAAAACCACAAACAAACAAAAATAGTAATTCCATTAGTGGCTGAAAATGGTAATAATCCTGGTGAGTATGAATTTTATTGCTATAGCAACTGGAAAGCCCAGAAATGATAAATAAAAAGTTCTTACATGCTGTGAGGAGTACATTTTTGTTGCCAATACTCCATCAAACATTTTAATTCCATTAGTAGTTAAAAATTGTAATAATACCCTTGACAATAATTTTTATTGTTATACCTGTAAAACACAAAGATAAGAAATAATTTTGTCAACTGGAACATGGTGATCATAACTCAGTGGTATTAGTGAGAAGCCTGTGATTCAGTTTCAGTGTGACTAGCATCTCGATTTGGAGCCTTAACACCTGAAAATGTGACTCAAAAGCTATTTCAAACTTAAGCCATTTCCCTCTTTCATTTCTAGTGTTCTCATGGCAAAGAAAGAACGCACTCAGAAGTAGGTTGACAGTGGCTCTGCCACTATCTTGTGACCTACCCTGGCTCTCAGTCTTCTAATCTGTTAAATGGGACCACATAGGCTCTGTTTTAGTTTAGTCTAATACCTGGGGATACAGTCATGTATTATGTAGATGGTGACCCTGACCACACGGAGCTTATGGTTTTGGGGGAAGATCGATATTATTTATTATCAGCAGCATTGAAGGGAGTGATTTTCAGGAGCTCACCCAGAGGCCACCAAGAAGCTCCTCCACCTGCGACCCTGATGTAGGTGACTCTCAAGAAGCTCCCCTGGAAGCTTCCAGGCTCAAGCCTGTACACCTCCCCGGCTGCTATGCCTCTGGAGAGCAAAACCTTCTTCCTCTTCCATGGCTTATACTTCTCATGAGCACTTCCATTGGCCGACTCTACCCCAGAACAATCTTAGGAAGGGCATTCTAGGAAGGCTTCTCAGAGGAAGTAACATTTAACTTAAAAACCAAAGGATGAGGGGAGGCCGAGGCGGGCGGATCACAGGGTCAGGAGATCGAGACCATCCTCGCTAACACGGTGAAATCCCATCTCTACTAAAAATACAAAACAAAATTAGCTGGGCATGGTGGCAGGCACCTGTAGTCCCAGCTACTCAGGAGGCTGAGGCAGGAGAATGGCATGGACCCGGGAGGTGGAGCTTGCAGCGAGCCGAGATAGCGCCACTGCACTCCAGCCTGGGCAACAGAGCGAGACTCCATCTCAAAAAAAAATAAAAAACAAAGAATGAGTAACACTTGGTCAGGGGAAAAGAATAGAGAGGAGCTGGGAAGGGAGAGGAGAAGGAAAAATAATCCCAGGTAGTGGGAACAGCATGTGCAAAGTAGAGCTTTGCTGTCACTAGCCACCTCTGGGGATCTCCCGCAGCTCAGTGAAATTCCCCACTGGTGGACTGGGAGTAGGGTAGGGGATGGCACAGCGGTTTCTCAAATGTGGTGATGGAGTTTACTCCACCAGTTTCATCAAGTGCTATCATCAGTAGATTTCATCATGGTGCTTATAATTTTTTTTTTTTTTTTTGAGACAGAGTCTCTGTCGCCCAGGCTGGAGTGCAGTGACGCAACCTCGGCTCACTGCAACATCTGCCTCCCAGGTTCAAGCGATTCTCGTGCCTCAGCCTCCCAAGTAGCTATGATTACAGACGTGAGCCACCACGCCCAGCTAATTTTTGTATTCTTAGTAGAGATGGGTTTTCGCCATGTTGGCCAGGCTGGTCTCGAACTCCTGACCTCAGGTGACCCACCCGCCTCAACCTCCCAAAGTGCTGGGATTACAAGCGTGAGCCACCGCACCCGGCCGCTTATACTTTTTTATGAAAAGTTCGCCATGAATATTGCATCTCTGAGTGAACAGAATGGTGACTCACGTTTTGCAACGTATATTTCTCATCTAATTTATTTTTGACAGTCCTGTCATATTTTTGACAATTAAATAACTTTTCCCTCTCCTTGGGATTTAAGGTCATGCAGCCTCCACGACTCCTCCCACCTATATTGCCTCAATATTCTCCCATATCAGCTAGCTCGTGATTATAAAAATATTTAGAAGAAAGAATAAACAGAACTAGGTCTTTAGGGGTGGTGTGGAGAGGGAGAACAAGGAGATCATGGGTTCAGTTTTGAATATGTGGATTTTGTGATACACTGGAGACATCCAAGTAGGGATGACAAAGGACAATTTATATATTGGTCTGGAACCCAGCAGAGAGAGCAGATATAAATTCTGAAGACAGGGAATGCAGGTGGCAACTGAAAGCATGGCGGCAGATGAGAAGGTAGTGAGGAAGAGCAGAGGAGGCAGGATGGAGCTTTGAGGAAAATCAACATTCAGTGCCTGGTAAAGGATGCTCAACCATAATGGAGAAGACAGAGGACAAGAATCCAGAGAACTAGTAGCTGAGCCAGGATACTTTGTATCAAGTAAGTCAAGTGGGAGCTGATTCAAGGAGATAGGTCTGAAAGTGTCCAGGACTTTAGCAACGTGGAGAATGTCCATGATGCCCTCCCTGAGAGCTGTTTGTTGGAGACAATGGGGAAGAATCCAAATAGGGGTGGGTTGAGGAGGGAGAGGATGGGGAGAAGGAACAGGGACCAAAAGTACAGGCAACCTTTGAAGAAGTGTGGCAGCCAAGGGGAGGGGGCAGGCAAAGGCAGCCACAAGGGAGCGTGGGGCCAAGGTTGTTGTGATGGTGGTTGTGTTTCAAAACACAGGTAGAATTTAAGCATATTTTAAAGATCCAAGACTGCAAAATGCAGGGTGAGGGGAAAGGCAACTAAAGCAAGGCCAAGCTAAGGCAGGTCCATGGGGAGTGCGGGGAGGGGGCGGTGGCAAAACTTAAGGAGACGCTCATTCCTTAAACGGCAGGGCCAGCGTTTGCCCAATCCTGAGAGCACATGCCTCCTTAATTTTACATCCTAGAAGCCTGACTGGCTTCACCCTGGCCAGAGCCCAGAACTGAGATCTTAGAGTCCTTGAGGTGACAGCTCCAGAGCACAAGGGTGACTCTCAGAGTGTTACCCTTTTCCAAAAAAAAAAAAAAAAAAAAAAAAGCTTGACAAGGAAAGTTATAATCAAACTTGCAGGACTTGAAAGAACTCTAGAGGCCACCTCCTTCTGTGGCTTTTCAGGATGTCTTTAGCTGTGAACACTTCCTTTAATCTCATGTGGAGGCCCAATAAGTAAAACAGGAAATGCAGATGGCTCTAGTGGAAGCTGGGAGCCAGAAGCCTTGAGCTCTGGTCAGGTCCACAGAAAGCTTAAGCTGCACGGATCACAGTTTGCAAGTCTCTGGGCTGGTTCAAGATTTCCACGTATTCATTTGTGAATTCATTCCAGCTTTCAGTGCAGCCTCTGAGGCTGTGGGGGAGGCTCAGCAAAGGGAAGCCCGATAACACCCTTGCATCTGCAGAATCATCTCAGTTTCATGGGTGGACTTTGCTTCTACTAACCTGACACATTTAAATTAAATTTTTTTATCTCTGCCCTGCCTTGTTCCCCAAAGGATTTAAGGTAGTGTACCAAGATATACGTGAGACACAAGATAAAGCACCTAATGACATAGACAAGGAGATAGCAAAATAAGCAAAGGGAAGTTAAAGGAAGAGAGGCTTAGATCTGGGATTTGCTCAGAGTCCCAGCCACTTACTGCAAAGTGGTCGCAGATTTGACTCTAAGCTTTCTAACAATAAAGCAAACAATGCTTCTAGCAGATGAAGGCCAGATAATTGAGGATTCATCTGCCCATTAAAAAACAACACCATCAAGAAGATTTGAGTTAGAGCCACAAAAATAGAATTTGATTTGCAGAATTTTAATTTACTCCTGACATTCTAAGAGTGTTCCCAAGGTGTAAAGAAAGGTATTCTGTCATAGACCAGATGTTGACAAGTCAAAGCTACCTTGTGTTAAAAGAGCTAGTTAGTCTCAAAAAAAAAAAAAAAAAAAGAGCTAGTTAGTGCCTACTAACTCCTCTCTTCCAGAATGTTCTGGGTCCTTGAGATATGAGTGTGGAGGCCATGACAAGAACAGAAAGTGCAGTTCAAGACAGTTGTTCCTGGGGTGCCGAGAGACTGGGGGTCTGTGGGTGACAGGAGCACCTTGCCGACTCTAAAGTCTCAGCTAACCTTTTTCTGACTCCAGGAATTCACCCAGGAGCGTTGGCTCTTAATACAGTCTCCTATGTCCACTTTCTCCTATGAAGCAATATTTTCCGCTGTATTTATTCATGAATTATTTTATTCATCAAACATTTATTAATGTCTACCATATGTCATTTATTTTCACATCCGTTATCTCACTCAATCCTCAGACAACCTTGTGGGGAAAGTATTCATGATTCTTCCCATTTTATAGATGGGAAAGTTGAGGCTTAAAGAAGTTAAAGTAACTAATCCAAGGTTTCACAGCTAGTAAGTGGTAGAGCTTAGTTTTGAGCCAAATATCCTGACCCCCAGCCTGGTGCCTTTTGCATTGTGTCATGGAACCACCTGAACTGAACACATCAAGGCTGAGGATCAGAGATTGCTAGTGGCTCCCAACCCAGCTGATATCCAGGAACCAGGAAAACCAAACCAGGGGACCAAGAGGCTTGTTGGAATGAAAGGGAAGTCTGCTGTCTTGAGACGGTGGGATCAGAATCGGTATCCTTGTATGCAAAATTCAAGCAATTATCTCTCCTTGGCAGGTTTGCTATTGTTTAGAGCCACCACGTACATGTGTGCAGGTCGTGCACTGCACAACTCTAGAGGGTATCATTCATAGCAGCAGCAGCATGGATTTGTATTTTACTATTACGGTCTTCAAGCAGGTAGCAAGAAAGAGTACCAATGAGTAGGCATCTTTTCCTAATTTGCACATAGATGCCCAGTGTCAGCAGGAGTGCTGGTGTGTGCCTCACAGGTGTGTGTTTAGTGACTGGCACAGAGAAAGCCCTTGATAAAGGCTAGTTTCCCATATCTCCTTCTGTAATATGAGAACCATCAAACTTGCTCAGCCTGCCTTACAATGCAGTTCTGAAGATCAAAATAAAATAATAGAATGAAAGTGTTTTCACAGACGCACCGGGCCACTGTTGAGTACAAGTATAAGGAATTAATGGTTTGGCTAAGGAAGTCGAGGGGAGGCTCTGGCACCAAGGCACCGAGACACCAAGGCTAGGTCCCAGTCCACTCAGGGAACAGGTTATGTGCTTCCCATGGAGTCCGCTGCCAGCTTGGGCTTCTGCAGTCGAGTTGGGGGCAGGGCCCCTATGCCAAGCAGAGGGAGCTCTGACGCTCACTGGCAGAGGAGACAGGGAGAAGCAGAGGCTTCCTGGACCCTCATGTCAAAGCAGTTTGCGGGAGAAAGGAAGAGAAGGGGAAGCATAATATCCACCGAGCAGGCAGCGGGAGATGCAAAAAGCAGACAGAGACTGAAAGAGAAATGAGAGGGAGAGGGGTGAGGAAAGAGAGCAAGGGAGAGGCTGAGAGGGATGGAGCAGGGCAGCCAGAAAACAGAGAGTGAGAGCAGGATGAGATGGAGACAAGGGAGGAGGAAGGAGAGAGAGGCGACCTGAGAAAGACCCAGGAAAGAGGTGAGCGAATGTGCGTGTGTGTGCATGTGTGTGTGCCTGCGTGTGTGTGCGCGTGTGCGCAGGTGGGGGTGAGGAGGAAAGGAGAGGAAAGAGGAGGGGAGAGGAGGGCCCTGAAGGAAAGGGGAGGGAAAAGGAGAGACTGGAGTTCAAATCCCAGCTCTTCTCTTCGCTGTCTCTGGAAGGTCCCTTAACATTCCTAGTTTGTTTCCTCAACCACGAAGTGTGGATAATAATCTTTACTTCTCCCTGCCCTCCCTCCACCCTCCCCAGTCCCACCCACTCCTTGGACTGCTGCAGGCACCAGGAGATGACAGATGTCAGTCTTTGGAGTTTGGCTGATGGAGGGAATGCCGGTATATTCCTGAGAAGCGTGAGTTTTTCTACTCAGCCTGGTGGGCTTTGTGCGGCCCCTTGCTTTGGCTGGGCTCGGGGAAGTCGCAGTGCCTGTTATAGGGCCTGGCAAGAGGACCATCAAGATGAGGGCTTTGTCTGGATCTAGGAGAGCTAGATTTCTTTCACCGCTTCCTTTCACCAAATGGAAAAGCCAGTTTTGGGATGTTTTCTCACAACTACCCTGAAACTCTCAGACAGCTCTCAGGTGCCTTCCCTATGTGGGCTCCCCCACACCAGGGTTTTGGGACTCAGGAGTGGTTGACAAGGAGGTAACTGTAGAATAGAAGCCTTAGAAATCAGATGGAGGTGGCTGGCATTTCTCCTCTCTTTTCTCAGTGTGAAGAGGCCATAAAACAATTAGAGCTCCATGTTGTTCTCCCAACAGAGCAGGGCGGGTGTCTCTGCCTTGTTAGTGTAATCAGCACCGTGATAAGGGTTCCCCTGCAACTGTAGGAGAAGATAGGCTGCCCCATAAACCTGGGTCACCAGCAGGGCACGGGGGTGAAAAGGTAAAGGGAGGAGCCGTGGCACCTCATGCTGTCCCAGGGAAAGCCTCCAGCTGGAATTCTGACCTGATAGGGGAGGGCCGCAGGCCCCTCAGCCTGAGTACCTTCTTCCACCGTGGCGCTTGTCCCAGACTTGGGGAAGGTGCCTGGCGGGTAGGCATCAGAGGTTAACCCACTTCTCACCAACAGCCAGGGTTGACTGTAAGTCTGGAGGCACAGGGACAGGCAGACCATTTGTCATTGAACCATTTCTGTTCTGAGCCTCTGCCACCCTGCCCCTCCCCCAGGGCCAACTAGACCACCATTACCTTCCCCCGCCCCCCTTCATTCAGCCTCAGGAGCCACAGGGGGGCTCTAGGACTCTGCTCTAGCTATCGCCTGCATCAGCCCTGCTTGGACAGTGCCCAGGTCCTGCTGGTGGTTAAATATTCTGAATGCCTCCCCTGCCAACAACCCTGATTTCCTGAGCGTGAAGATCTTAGAGGAGAATGGCTCCATCTGTATTTGAAAGCAGGAGGCCAGGTAGAGGACAGAAGAAGGAATAGCCCTTTCGCCTGCCCCAGGGGAGTGACTGTGCCTTTCATCAAATGCTTTCTTTCATTTAATCCTAACCGCAGGGAAGTGGCACTGCTCTTTGAGAGTAACAAGAAAGAGAAAGTAATTTACCAAATTTCCTTCTCTGTGTCTTAAGAAGAGACTTTGGCAAACTGAGGGTGAAGGGTGAAAGCCCTAACTCTCAGGCACCCTGAGAAGGAAAGGAACTCCAGATTGAACATCAGGGCCTGGTCACAGCCTAGATGTTGTTACCATTTGGATAGGGTTCCAGAGACCGGCGGGCAAGCGCTGAGGCCAAAACCCTTTGAGGGTGAGATGCAAACAGGGTCGGGAGGCCAGTGAGTTGACAGTTTCTCTTCATGACTCAAGATGTGTCCTTGGCTGTGACTTCCACCTCCTGGTTGTCAATATCCTCATCTATAAAATGAGAGGCTTGGATTTAATAATACAAATTCTATCTCCTCCTTCTCTGATTCTATGATTCTCATCCAACCACTTATCCACTGGATGGAAGGAATGTCTGTGAAGGAGGCAAAAGAGGAGGTGATTCTATCTGGCTGCAAGAAGGCCCAGTGTGTCTTGAAGAGCACAGGATTAGGAGACAGACCTGGACAGGGCTGCCATGTATGTTTGTTGAAGTTCCACACTGCACAACGGTGCTCGGCTGAGGGGGCCAGGGGGGTTGCAATACAGCCTGGGCTCTGCTCAGCAAGCTGTGCACGCTGGTGTGGGGTTTCATCCACCTGAGGAAATGCACCGTCTTCTAATGTGTGCAAATGTGCCACATAGGCTAGTGGCAATTCTGACCTTAGGAGAAGATGCAGAAACCAATAGGGAGAGGGAGCTCATTAAATCCAAGGTTTGAGACTTTTTAGCTCTGTGACCTCAGCTGATTTAAAGAATCTGAACTTCGCTGGGCGAAGTGGCTCATGCCTGTAATCCCAGGACTTTGGGAGGCCGAGGCGGGTGGATCGCCTGAAATCAGGAGTTTGAGACCAGCCTGACCAACATGGTGAAACCCCATCTCTACTAAAAATACAAAATTAGTCGGGCGTGGTGGTGGACACCTGTAATCTCAGCTACTTGGGAGACTGAGGCAGGAGAATCACTTGAACCCAGGAGGCAAAGGTTGCAGTGAGCCAAGACTGCACCATTGCACTCCAGCCTGGGCAAAAAGAGCGAAATTCTGTCTCAAAAAAAAAAAAAAAAAAAGAACCTGAACTTCAGTGTTGTGATAAAAACTGGGTTTGTTGTCATTTCCTGGCAGAAATGATGTGAGGCTGAGCCCAGAAAATAAATCTCCAGCATGAAGCACAGAACCTGAACCATAACAGGTACTCAGTTGAAAGAGTTTTCTTCCCGCCTCCTCCCTACCTGGGTTTCTCTTGGGAAAATGTTCATCAGTGTTTTGGCATTGGAAATGGCTTCCTTTGCCTGGAAATTCGGCCCTGAGAGTCCATCTGCTGGTGGGAGCCTCCCCTTACCACCTGCCCTCACCTCTCAATGGTATTGCCCTAGCATTCCATTTCCATCTTAGAATGCTCACCAGGGTAAGACGTGAAGCCTCCCTACAGCAAGAAAGTCGAGACCAGGAAGAAGTCTGGTGAAGGTGTCACACAATAATTGTGGGATTGGATTTTCATTTTTGCATGTGAACCCAAGCACTTTCAACAGGTAACGCCCTCTCTCTAGTGGTTTCTGCATCTTCTCTCCCCTCTCACCACTTGAGAAACAAAGAAACTAAAAGGTGTGCATGGATCGTGAATGTTCAAGCTGGAAGGCCTCAGAGAGGTCATCTGGTTCCATCTATCCACCAAGGACGCTTTAAAGCATCATCAGGCATTATCCAATTATCACACTCTCTTGAACTCACCCGCTGACTGTTTCCCACTGTGCTGAGCACAAGTTGCTAACAGCTTTCTCAGTGGGCATAATTACCCAATTTTAGGGCTGGAGCGGCACTGAAAGGTGCCAATGGGGATTCACTTAGCGGTACTGTCCCCAGCTACACTCTCCCGCTGTGTTCCAGGTTACTCATTCTTGATCAAGTCTTGCCTTCAAGACTTTACCACCACAGTACTTTTTGCCTCTTAGAATTTAAAGAATAGGAATAACTTCTAGAAAAATCTGAAACAGTGCTTTGTATACACTGGGCCCTGCTCCCAAGCCTTCAGTGGCTCTCTATTGCCCACAGAATTAATCCCAGTTCATTTAACTGGCCCTTTGTTCTATATTATGGAAAAACAGAAACAAATGGCACTTGGTTTATCCTCTTAAGGAGTCCAAGTTCTACTGAGAGTGATGGGTACAAGTAAGTCAGGAATGAATAAGACAGCAACCACAATAATTGCTGCCAGTGGACATGGAGGATGGAGGAACGGCATGTGTGTGGGGACTTGTGGGCCTTTGACGGTGGAAAGTATTTATTCATTTTACAGGCAGAGCATGAGACCAGAGAGGAAAAATGAGTTATCTCAGGTTGCACAGTGAGACAGAGGCAGAGCCAGAACTAGAACCCAGGACTCCTGGGTTCTCTTTGTTCTGTTTCAGTGTTTCTTTTATATGGTTCTTAATTGTTGAGTTCCCTCCTTTCTAGAGCACAGCTACAGCCTGGCACTGTGAAAAGAGTGCCAGGATACTGGGTGAGGGGTCTGGAGTCTCAAGTGTGAGTCCTGGCTGGCTCTCTGCCATGTGACACTTTGGGGAGATACTTAAGCTCTCTGAATCTTCTTTTTCTGATCTGTTGTTCATCTACCAGAATTCAGCTCCATTAGGGCAAGGAAAACATCTCATTCTTCTTCCCCAGGATAGGTCTGGGGGACTTTGAGAAAGACAATAACAGATCACAAACAGGGATATTCAGCAGTCTGGGGCTTGGGAGACAAAACTGTGGGGAAAATAAAGGTTTGGAAGGGGCCAGCATATTGAAGACTTGGCAATGGATGAATGGAAGACAGGGAGAGGAGAATGTGAGGGGGGAAGAAGGGTCTCTCGCACTGTTGACTCCCCCTCCAACACTGAGTAAATATTGAGAAAACACCTATTAAAAGGTGAAGGTTGGCCAAGGGTATAAGCTCACTGCTCAGGCCTCTCCCAACTACAGAACCAGAGAGATGCTGGGACCTTTGCTCTCAGCACCTGAGAAGGAAAAGCTTGGCGGATTCCACTCAGTCTCTGCCTTTGCTGACAGCATCACCATGGACAAGCCACCACAATGCTACAAGCCTCAGTTTGCTCACCTGTGAAATGGGGGTGGTACTGACTCAGAGGCTATGGGAAGGGTTCCATGTATAGACAATCTGGGACAGAAAGGCGTGGCTGGCATTGCTCCAGGCACATTGCAGTTATCAACGCATTCTAGTCCAGGCCCCCGAATCACATCTGATGAGCTGTGGTGATCACCAATGCCGGAGTTGCCTGCAATGACTGCACTGCCACAGCAATTGGCCCTTGTAAGGCCATTTGTCTCATTTTCTTCCCATCTCCCAACAGGTGGCGAAGTTGAATGCACCACATTCAGAATGCACAGAAAACCCAGAATGGGACTGCTTAGGAGTCAGGCTGTGCTGGCTAATTAAAACAGGAGCATTTGTAGACAGGAATGTGGCTCTCTTGAAAGTCCAGGAATTCTGGGTAATCAACACTCAACCATCAACAAACACTCTCTATTCCAGGCACTGGGAGCACCCAAAAAAAATAAATAAATAAGTCAAAATTTTGCCTCCAGAGGCCCCATGAGGCCTTCATCTACTGGGGAAGAAGACAGGCAAGTAAATTGGAACATCACAGCCCACAGCAATATGTGTCAGAAGACCAGGAATGCCAGGATCCACGAGAGTGCAGGGGAAGCATGCTAAGATGTAGAGGAGGTGACACCTGGGCTGAGTGTTGAAGGTTGAATAGGAGTGTGCCACCCAGGGAAATTGCATTCCAAGCAGAGGAGATGGCCCACATCAGGTCTGAGAGAGGGAGGCTAGGAGAGAGAAAATAAGTCCCCCTCAGTCCTGCCATGAGGAGGGCCAAGGGGGCTCACCATCAATGATGTCAAGCAACAACCAGGCCACCAAGCCAACTCAGGCCCCTTCCTGGAAGAGCAGCCCAATGGCCAACTGGATCATCCAGTTGGCTCCAGATATTTTATACTAGACCTCGGGCACCTCCCAGCCCAACTCCCTCACACCCCAATCTGCCAAACACCTGCCCTTCCTTCAAGGCAAGTCCAAGGGACACCTCCTCTGCAAAGTTTTTCCTGATTCTGCCAGAAAACCTCTGTTATGGAACCCGGGTGTATTAGCGTCAACTGTCTGCTTCTGCACTCAGCTGTGAGCTCCTTGAGGGCAGGGGCTGTGCTTCATTATAATAGCACAGTGTGTAGAACCCAGAAGGTACATAATTAATATTAATAACAGCCATGACGACTGTAATGACTAACAGTCATTGAACACTAGTGCCAGACATCAGGCTTAGGGATAGGCTCTAAGTATCATCATCATCCTCATTAGCTCATTGAATCCTCGCAAAAGCCCTATGAGATAGCGCTATTGCTATCCCCATTCTACAGATGAAAAAACTGAGGCTCAGAGAGAGGACGTGGCTTGCCCAAGGTCAGACAGCTAGTACATTTCCAGGCCAGAATTCAAACTGACCCCAAAGGCTGGGTCTTATCCACTGAGTATCATGCTTTGTTATGTGATAAATTTGATTGAACTGAATTGATGCCATAATAAAAGGGGGGAACCAGCCAAGCACAGTGACTCACACCTATAATCCCAGTGCTTTGGGAGGCCATCGCAGAAGGATGGCTTGAGGCCAGGAGTTCGAGACCAGCCTGAGCAACATAGCGAGATCTCATCTCTACTTAAAAAAAAAAAAAAAAAAAAAAAAAGTTTTTAATTGGGGAGCAAAGTTATTCAAACGAGAAGAAAAAACTGTAGGAAATGACATTTGAACTGGGGGAGGAGCATTGCCAGGAAGGTTATTCCAAGAAGAGGAAATAACAGGAGCCCAAGGTTAGAAACCACTGCTTGAGGAATGTGTTCAGCATGTGCTTGGCAGTAGCTAACTGCTCATTATATGTGTTTTAAAATTCAAATTGAGGCTGGGCATGGTGGCTCACACCCGTAATCCCAGCACTTTGGGAGGCCAAGGTGGGCAGATCACCTAAGGTCAGGAGTTCGAAACCAGCCTGACCAACATGGTGAAATCCCATCTCTACTAAAAATACAAAAAATTAGGCGGGCGTCATGGCATGTGCCTGTAATCCCAGCTACTCAGGAAGCTGAGGCAGGAGAATCACTTGAACCCGGGAGGCAGAGGTTGCAGTGAGCCAAGATAGCACCATTGCACTCCAGCCTGGGCAATAAGAGTAAAACTCTGTCTCAAAAAAAAAAAAAAAATCAAATTCAATTGGAATTTGTGAATCATCATGGGTAATAGCGTGTAAATTGCTCGGAAGAGAGTAGCAGGAGGAAGGTCTGGAAAGACACGTGGGGCCAGCTCAGGAAAGGCTGGGAATGCCAGGCTAAGGGCTTGGCTCTGACCTGAGGCTTTTAAGAAAAGATCTTCATTGGGAAAGGAGACTTTGGGTTTCAGGGCTGGCTCACAGGGAACGGAAATTTCACTCTTAATGAGAGAGATTATGGGGAGAGAGCGCCCCCACATGGGAGAGCCGGCTGCTCCCCTGAGTAATTCAAGGCTGTGATGTCTTGGGCCACATGGCACAAGGGGGTGGATCAGCTCCATGTCTGACATTTGTGGGGCCTAGAGTGAGAGTTTAAATAGAGCCGATATGGCATCCCCAGTACTGCCCCTAGACCACTGCATGTTCCAGGGCCCCCTCGCTGTACCCTGCCTTCCTCAAACACTCTACATCCTCTGCCAGGGCCTATGACCACCCATGGCCAGCAGTGCCAACCTAGGGGTGCAATCCAGGCCCAAGCTGGGTCCCACGTGGGCTGCAGTCCCCATTTCTCCCCTGTGGGGCACTCTCTGGCCCTCTCCCTTCCCCCAGCCTCCCTCCTCTGGCCCAAGGCCAGACTCCTGCTCCAGAAAGGAGCCAGCAAGCAGATGGCTCCCACTGGCCGGTTTTTCTTGCATGAGATGACCTGTGATTGTGCCAGTAGACTGGCACCAACACTTATTCGGGGTGACAAATTGTTTATATAAACAGGGACATTAAAATATTTGCCCCAGGCCAGGTGCGGTGACTCATGCCTGTAATCTCAGCACTTTGGGAGGCCAAGGTGGGCAGATCATTTGAGTTCAGGAGTTCAAGACCAGCCTGGCCAACATGATGAAACCGCATCTCTACTAAAAATACATAAATTAGCCAGGAATAGTGGTGGGTGCCTGTAATCCCAGCTACTCTGGAGGCTGAGGCAGAAGAATTGTTTGAACCTGGGAGGCAGAGGTCGCATTGAGCCAAGATCGCCCCACTGCACTCCAGCCTGGGCAACAGAGTGAGACTCTGTCTCAAAAAAAATAAAAATAAAAATTGCCCCAGCTCCTACACACCCTATAAAAATTTGCCCTAGCTCCCACACACAAGAAGCAGCCCTGACCGTACACTTAAATATTTAAAAGTTATCACTCAAACTAAGTTCATAAAATACATTCTATCCACCTACCATGACAAATAGACCTTCATAGCAACCTAGAAGTCTGGGTCCAAATTTAGGCTACTCCAACTCCTTGGTGTTCCATGCTAGAACATGGTGGGGAGAGGGTTTGAGGCATGAGCCCCCAGCGTGCAGCTGCTCGTGTCTCTGTCCTGAATCCTGTGTTCCCCGGTCCCTACCTGCACACATGTGGACCTTCTGGCTGCACATCCAAGCTCCATATGCCCCCAACCAACTTCCCCTTGGTACTCTCTGGGCTGGGAGTGTACCCACCAACAGTGGGGTCCACCTTGTAAAGAATAAGGAAAGGAAAGAGGGCTCCAGGTACTAGAAGTTGCCTTGAGGCCCTTTGGCCAGAAAATTCCAGGGTTCTGAGTACCCAGAGCATGATCTAGAAGGGAAGAGGGCACAGCTCCAGCTGTCCATGTTCCCTGAGAGAAGGGACATAGCTGGAGGAGAGCAAATAAGACCTTTTAAAACACAGGACTCCCCTTTCCCAGGCCTAAGTCACTACCAGACAGAGCAACTGTGCCTTAAATGCAGGTCCCAAGAACCAGCCTTCTGTCATTACCTGGACCCATGCAAAAGAGGATCTCCTCCTTCTCATGCTTTCTAGAAGAGTTCCCATCTCTCAACATCCCCACCACCAAAGCAGACTCTAGGGCCTTCTACACATGGCTGATTGGGTGACAGGATGGAAGACTGCTCACTTAGCTGCAGAGGAAAGAAATGGGACCTGAACCTGTCCTCCCACATGGCTCACCAGAAAAGTCCTACATTTAGGATGGAAGTTGGGGGCTCATTTGTCAGGTATTTGCCTAGCCATTGAAATTTCTATACATTTCCCATCTGGCTATTATTTCACTACAGGGCCTACCACAGGAGGAAGACATTTAAATTAGTCAATTGCAGTACCAAAACTCCAGCCCTGACTATCCTATCTAAAACGTTTGTGCGAGACTGAACTCCTGTTAGAAAGACATGGTAGAATTTGTTAGCACTCCTCTGTATTTTATGCGGGAATCCCCCTATATTTTCCAGTCTTCCTTGTAGCTGGCTGGCCATGTGATTGATTCAGGGCAATGCAATGGAGTGGGAAGTATGTAAGTCATCTCCAAGGCAAGGTGGTAAGGTACCTGGCGTGCCTTCGCCTCATGCACACAATTGGAAGAGAAGGACTCCAAGATGGTTTAGTGATGGGTGAAAGGGGCTTGGATCCCTGAGTCACCACTTGGAGGAGGGAAGCCTAAGAGAGCTGCCCAACCCTCACCAACTTGTTACACGAGCAAGAAATTAACTTTTACTTTGTTAAACCACTGAACTTGATGATTGTTACCACAGCTAATGAGTGTTACTCTATGTAATATGGAAGCTGTCGGATTAGTCAAGGTGAGACTTGGCAATGTTAAGGCAATAGCAGGATGGGGTGGATATGAGAAATATGAGGGAGAGGTGCTCAGCAGTGAGGGAGAGGGCAAACCATGTTCCTGCATGAGTCTAATCCAAGGTGGACGATGACAAGAGCCAAACAGGAGGTCCAAACGTGGGGCTGTGGGCTGTAAGGAAGACAAGCAGATGACACAGAGAGATCACAGAGGCGATCGGTGGAAGAGAAACAAGAAAATTAAGAACATTTCTCAGTCTGATAACTCCCCAGCTACAATGCGCTGGTCGCTTCTTCCAGAGTGGTGCGCCCTGCTGGGACATGGACAAGTAGCCATTCCTGCATCCCCCAGGAAAGGGCTCCTCTTTTCCATGGACACACACAGAGTCAGCTAGCCTGGTTAAATCAAGGAGCAGATGCCCTTGGGGTCTAGCCCCAGGTCTGTCCATCCTGGATATGAGTCATGGGCCGGTCAGCCCCCTTCTCTGGGCCTCAGTTTCTCCTATGTAAAAGGAGGAGGTGGGTTTGATCTAATTACCTAATAATGGCTGACGGTGAAGGGAACTAAGCAGAAACAAAGGTGAGGGGATTTATGGCTCTTCTAACAGAATCATGACGATGAAGGCAGGGGTGAAGGGACATCCCCTCAAGAGAGGCCAACTCAGGAGCTGAAACACATCTTTGTGTCTCCGCCATCACCTTCATCTTCTCCCACTGCAGATGAGCTTTCTCTGTGTGAAGAGCATGTGGGCCCAGGATGCTCCAGGTCCCCTAACACAACTGTCTGAGGAAGAAGGATTCAGACAGGTCCAGGCTAGATCTCATGCCCCCGCTGTGGAGGGGGTGGGGGGGTGTTACCAGGAGAAACAGTCACAGAACAGATGTGGGCTACTGTGGGATCTCTGTGGATCCCCAGATTCATGTCTGCTGTCCTCCCCAGATGCCTCCTGCCCTGACCCTAGGTGATGCGACCTTCTCAGCCCAGCAGACTCTTCCGCCTGCACTCACCTGGTGGTTACTCCTGGACAGTGCCTGGCAAAAGTGCCAGGACACTTTGGGTTACTCCTGGACAGTGCCAGCTCCTCTGAGAGGTGATCTCC
Source organism: Homo sapiens (assembly GCF_000001405.40). Classification (NCBI taxonomy): domain Eukaryota; kingdom Metazoa; phylum Chordata; class Mammalia; order Primates; family Hominidae; genus Homo; species Homo sapiens. The sequence continues at coordinate 35,144,534 of NC_000022.11, forward strand.
CCTTCCAAGGAGGCGGGGATGATTTTCTCACCAGTTTGCAGGTGGAGCCATCAGGCCTGAGGAGGTTAAATAGCTCAGCTGTGAGAGGTCACCAGGAAAATTGGAGGAACCTGGGTACACGCACGCCTTCTCTAATGGCAGTTTGTTCAGGGCTTGGCCCGCTGTACTAGTTCAATGGGCTTTAGGAGGCCTTTTGCCTTCTTGGAACTTCCTGAGGAAAATGACATCCAGTTGGCATGATGCTCAAACAGGCAGATGAGTGGTGTGAGCCATGAAGACCCTCACACCCATCTCAGCTCCACCTGCCCTTCCCAGGCACCCACCTGGCAGAAGGGAAGACGGAGGAGGAAGAACACACTGACCTCAAGCTCCTGCTGGGTGCCACATTCCTACACCCTTCATCTCACACTTTAAATGTGTTTAAGGTGGCATTAAATTACACCAATAATACAACAGCCTTCTAATAAAAAAGGTAAAACATTATGGGTAAGTCCATAAGTCACTTAGATCACTGTAACCTCCCCTGAACTCTCCTCCAGGAACCACTGTGACCATTTAGCCAACATCATCCTGTCTTTTCTCATGCATTTACTTTCAAACATATATGTTAAATTTTTCTGGGGTTCATAACATAAATAGTATCAATTGTACCAATTTTGCATGCAGACCATAATGCAAACATGTTTTTCCTTTTTTTTTTTTTTTTTTTTTTTTGAGATGCAGTCTTGCTCTGTCGCCCAGGCTGGAGTGTAGTGTCATGATCTCAGCTCACTGCAACCTCCGCCTCCCGGGTTCAAGCAATTCTCCCGCCTCAGCCTCCCGAGTAGCTGGGATTATAGGCACACACCACCAAACCCGGCTAATTTTTGTAGAGATGGGGTTTCACCATGTTGGCCAGGCTGCTCTCGAACTCCTGACCTCAGGTGATCTGCCTGCCTTGGCCTCCCAAAGTGCTGGGATTACAGGCATGAGCCACTGCGCCCACCCTGGACATGTTTTATGTAAGTGGCAGCCGAAGCTTCAGCAGGCTACTTGACCTCTGTGTGTCTCAGTATCCTCTCCTAGAAAGTGGGGATAATAATAGCACCCTACTCCTGGGGTTGTTGTGAGACCCACACAATCAGGGGCATTGCCTGGCATGCACACACACACACACACGTATGCATGTACACATAGCAATAAAAGGGCTATGTAAGCATCAGCCATTCAGGTTGCTTTTCTGTCATTAGTATTGTGCAAATATGTTTCTTCACTCACTTAGATGTCTTAGAAATCTTTCCAGGTTAGTACTATAGGTTTGCCTCAGTCTTTTTACCTACTGTATACTGCTCCATAGCATTGATTTCTATCCTTTATTTAGCCATTCCCCTTTTGATAGACATTTAGGTTATTTCCAAATTTTAACTTGTGTGAATAATGCTGCATTAAACATCCTGGAATGGACATGCCATTATTTCATTAAATACAACAACTTGTGAGGCAGGTTATTATGTGCCAGCTTTTGAAGAAGGGAAATTGAAGTGGGCACAGTCAAGGGGCTGAGCCAGGATTCAGCCCAAGCTGGTGTGGAGCTCATGCTTTTTCCCCTACACCAGGCTGCTGCCCCTGCCCTACCAACAGCCCCCACCTCTGAGCACCCCTTAAGTCACAACAAATGCCCTTTCTTCCACGTCACTTAAGTATGAATAGATCCTTGTCCTAAAAACATTGTGGGGCTCCTTACCCATCCCCTGGCTACTGAGGTCCTCTTTTCAAAGAAAGAAAAGGGAGAGGCAGGTTTTGGAAAACGCAAAATCATTTGAAAACCACACTGAATTGTGTGTTTCCAACTCAGCATCCCCCACTCTCTCCCCAGTTAGGAACCTACAAATCACATTTTCCAGCATCTCTTTGCCCATGTGGTTCTGGGTTTGAGTCTGTCACTGAGGGGAACTGGCACAAGATTTGAAAGGCGGAAGTGAAGGAGAAGCCATCATTCTCAAAGAGTAGCTGCTTGGGAACTGCTGGTTTTGCTGCTTCCAACCAAAGCACTTGGAAGGAGCTTCTAGAGATCCTCAAGCGTTGCAGCAACTTCCTGCAGGCTTGTGAGAACCACCAGCTTCAATACTTCAGGCCCAGGTTCCTGGCCGTGTCAATGTCCCTGGATTTTGGCAGCAGCTCCTCTAACCTCTGACACCCCGGATCTTCCAGCCATTCTGTCAGCCCCCGTTTCCCGCAGTCCCATAAGCCCCTATAACCTTCATGCCTGGAACGCAGAGAGGTTCCTGTTTTTCTAACCAAACTCTGACTGATATAAAAGTTAATGCCAAAAAAGAACATTGACTTTTGACTAGACTATTGATTTATGAAAAGTGTTGAAACTTTAGAAAGAGGTTTCTTTATGTTCTATTATTCCCCAGAAGGGCCATGATCCAGAAATGAGCTGAATTCATAACGCGTGTCAAAAAGGGAGCTGAGCTTTGGGGACAAACTTGCAAGTGACCGTGACTGGCAGGCGAATGGTGACCCAGACTGGGCCCCCCCAACCAGAACTGTCTCTGGACCATTTTGTCTTTGGAATCCCATTTTAGGAAAATTGAGGGATGCACAACATAGCTCTTCTTCAGAGGGTGCAGGAGAAGCAGGGAGAGGGATGAAGGCAGGGAAGGAAGACAAGACCCACTCTGACCACACAGCTGACCTCCACCCAGACTGCCCCCAGCTCTCATGCTGGATTGGCCTAGGAAGCCCTAACAATAGGCTATGTCTCCCGCCAGCAGCTTGGCCTCCCAGGAATGACTCACTCCACCCCTATTAGGTGTGGCAGGCTGGAAAATGGCCCCCAGAAGATACCAAATCCCTGGAACTTGTAGATGCACCTTATTTGAAAATAGGGGTTGTGCAAATGTTATTAAGTAGAGGATCTTGAGAAGAGGAGATTATCCTGGATTATCCTGGTGGGCCCCAAATCTAAAGATTTCAGACAGACACACAGAAGAGAAGACAATATGAAGATGGAGGCAGAGATTGAAATGTTGCGGCCACTTAGCCCAGAAGCATCAAAGTCGCCAGCAGCCACCAGAAACTAGGAGAGAGGCACAGAATGCTGTCTCCCCAGAGCCTCCGGAGGGAGCACAACCCTGCCGGCACCTTGATTTCAGACTCTGGCCTCCAAAGCTATGAGAAAATAAATTTCTGTTGTTTTAATCCACCAAGTTTTGAGTGGCATAGGAAGCTAATACAGGAGTATATACTGGAGGGACTTGAAGACCCTCTGGTCAATAATCTTTTGTTTGTTTGTTTGTTTTTGAGACAGAGTTTCGCTCTTTCACCCAGGCTGGAGTGAAGTGGCACAAACTCGGCTCACTGCAGCCTCCCCACCGTGCCCCATGGGTTCAAGCGATTCTCCTGCCTGAGCCTGGAGAATTGCCTGGGTTATTTTTGTATTTTTAGTAGAGTCAGGTTTTACCATGTTGGCCAGGCTGGTCTCGAACTCCTGATCTCAGATGATCCACCCGCCTTGGCCTCCCAAAATGCTAGGATTACAGGCGTGAGCCACCGCACCCAGCCTGGTCAATAATCTTTAAACCCTGCTCCTCAGAGGGCTTTTGGGGGCATCTTCAGGCAGGATTACGTAGGACAAGTAGGTCAGACTCCAGGCCAGCCATCCCTCATGGAGCAGAGCAGCTCCCCCGCAATCTCCTCTACATATTGGGCAGTGAAGTAAGATTAAGTAAGAACAAGTGATGGGGAACTGCGGGGAAGCAATTGTGGAGGGGCTGCAGGTGAGTTTTCAAGCCAAATATCCAACTGGTCCCTTCAGTTTTCCGTTTTCTCAGACAGACGGAGTGACTTGCCGCTGGTCATACAAGTTAGTAACAGAGCAGCAATCAGAACCTGGGTCTCCAGTCTACACTGCAGCACACAAGCCCACACTGAACAATTGCACAGCGCCAAGGACTGGGATTGGAAGGGACTGCAGGAGGATACTTTATCTGTCTCCTGCCCTCTGATTAGATGGTGGGAAGGTTTTAACTTAGGTAACTTTGCTGAAAAGGAGCTGCAGCATCTGCTGACCAGCTGTCGTGGCTTCTCCTAAGCAAGGTCTCTTCCCTTGGCTGGCTGTGCAGGCAGTTGATCAGCTTCTCTCAAAGGTCTGTGAACAGGAAGCCTGGAAACCCAGGTGACCCAGGTCATTGACATGCAGGAATCAGCTTGCTTCTTGGATTGGGCTCACTAGAAACTGACCCTGAGATGGAGATGTGAATGCAGGCAGAGCTGATAGCACTGGCCCCACTGCAGGAAGCCAGACCTGCTGGGGCAAGCCAGGGGCTTCCCACCCAGTCGCTGGCACAAACCCAGGACCCCAGTTCAGAAGCAGCAGAGTGGTACAAGCAGCCCTGTCCTGAATGTCTAGAGTCCTGGGTTGGAGGGGACTCGGTGGGTGCAGTGGGTGTCCTGGGGCTTGTCACTTGTCAGCTCTGGGCACCCCCCCATTTGTGGAACAGAGGGGCTCTGCCCCCTGCTCCCTAACCCCCTTCCAGCTGGCATTCTGCAAGGGGGCTGCCAAGCTACCACATCTGGCCATAATCTCCAGCTGTCATAGAGGAATAAAAATAGCAGCATGACAGACGATGACAGCTTTGGATGTTTCCCCTGCCTTTTTTGTGCATGTCAATTTCTTTTCTCCCAAGTTAGGGAAAGATTCCTTGATACAATCAGGATTATCTCATAATGCTTAATGAAGGGCCTCCTGGCGCCTCGGCCACAGATTACTCTAAGCTCTTGCTAACCCACTGAAAGGATGATAGAAATTGGCACAGGTACAAACCACCCGCTCCTTGTGCAGGGCCGTCAGAGCAGGGCATGCGAGGACTTCAGCAGATCCAGTAGGCCTACTGCTATGGCCTTGTGTGGTGAGGCAGATGTTCAAAAAGAGGATGGAGCTGAGTCTCTGCTGCTTACTCACGTATCCAGTGAGACAGGCACTGTCACAAAGAACACCGGGGGTCCCATCCCAGTTCGGTCTCATTCCAGAACTGACTGTGTGCTGGGGAATAAGCAACTCCTCTAAGCAGGGCCTCCTCTGGAAAATGAGGGAGTAAGTTTTCTTCTGCAGGTCAGTGTTGTTTGACTGGCTGCCTGAAGGTCATGCTGAGAAGGGTTTGGAGGCTACACGGGACTCTTCAGAGAATGGCTGTGCTCCACTGGGGATGTCTGCTATGGCCAAGACTGGGACGGTGGCCATATACATGCCACTAGACCTCTCTGGACTATATGAACTCTAAGGCTCATCCCAACTCTGGTATCTTATTAAATCTTATAGATATTCATCCTATGATCAAAACAGCCATAATATTCTCCTTACTGTGGCTTCTTGCCAAGTCCTTCAAATCATCTTTTTCTATCAAAGGTGGTGAATGTATGTAGTGGACACTCTTGTGTGCTACCCAGCTCTCTCCTTTAGGATTGGGGTTCTCTCTTCTTTCCCCCAGCTGCCAGGATTGGGGATGGCTCATGACCCCTTTCCTGGAATTGCACTGGGTTGAAGGGAGTGGCTTTGTCTTAGGTCATGCCTGCCCCCTTCCCCAAGGGGATATCTGTATCCAGTGACTGGTCTATTTAGGAACACAATGTGGGACAACTTTCTCCCAAGTTTCGACAGTTAAAGTCTGTCCCAACTCTATAGCAACTAGAAACTCCACACTGCACAATTTCACAGCACCAAGGACTAGGGCTGGAAGGGACTGCAGGAGGTTATGTCATCTGTCCCCTGCCCTCTGATTCGATGGTGGGAAGGTGGTAACTTACGTAACAGGCGAGAAGGAACAGTGGCATGTATTGACCAGCTGTCGTGGCTTCCCATAAGCAAAGTCTCTTCCCTTGGTAGAACTGAGCTTCTGTTTATTACATCATTAATTGCATCGCGGCTCATCTTTTCCCTTTCCCCAGTCCTGTATCTTTCACTCTCTTATAAATGCTGACAAGTGACAAGCCTCAGGACACCCGCTGCACCCACGGAGTCCCCTCCAACCCAGGACTCTAGACATTCAGGACAGGGCTGCTTGTACCACTCTGCTGCCTCTGAACTGGGGTCCTGGATTTGTGCCAGTGACCGGGTGGGAAGCCCCTGGCTTGCCCCAGCAGGTCTGGCTTCCTGCAGTGGGGCCAGAAATATGAGCTCTGGCTCCCCCTGGTGGCAAGACCAGAAACGAGCTCAGCGTGACTGTCCAGTGTCAAAGATGTGGGAGGAAGCAGCGGAGAAACCAAAGGAGGAGGAAGACGCCACCATCACTGTCCCCAGCCATGCAGCCTAAAAGTCACTATCCCTTCCTCTCTTAGAGTCTTTTGGTTCAGTTTCCGCCCCCATCATAGTAACAGAAGGGGCCTTGGGCCCAGTTGCAGCTAAATTTTGTCCCCGTGAAAGTTCGTATGTTGAAGCCCTAAATCCCAGTACCTCGGAATGCGACTGTATTTGAAGATAGCGCCTTCAAAGGGGTAGTTAAGGTAGAGTGAGGTAATGACAGTGCGCACTAACCAACGTGCCTGGTATCCTTATTAGAAGAGGAGATTAGAACACAGACACGCACAGGAGGGAGACCACATGGGGACCCGGGGAGAAGACAGCCTTCTACAGCCAAGAGAGGTCTCAGAAGAAAGCTGCCCTGATGATCTTCCAGAACTGTGAGAAGTGAATTTCTATTCTTTAAGCCGCCTAGTGTGCGGTACTCTGTTTTGGCCGCCCCAGCTGATTCATCGACCCCTAGTCCTTTCCCTTCCTGGCCTCCTGGCCCGCTTCTCCCCTCCCTCTCCCCTGCCTCACTCCCTCTTTCTCTCCATATCTGAAGATACCTCCTTTGCTCATTTATTCTCCAGATATTTACTGAGCCCAACGATGGACTCATTCTTAGAGACAGAGAAATGAATAAGAACTTTTATTCACCAGTAAATATTTACTGAGCACCTAGTAAGTACCAGGCTCTGCTGTAGGCACTGGGTTATGATGACACAAGGCAGGCATGATCCTCAAGGTGCAGTCGGCATGGGTGGGGTTGGGGGGACTGACATGCACGTGTCCAGCCTGTCTTCCACTGAGCACTGGGTGCAAACCCCATACGGAATAAGGCAGAACCCAACTCCCACAGAGTGGGGAAAAAAAGAACCCAGGAAGCCAGTAAATAGAGGTGAAGTTTGTGCTAAGCTTTGAAGGATGAGGAGGAGTTCTCTCTCTCCCTCTTGTTCTCCATAAAAGTCTATCACTAAGCAATGCTCAGTGAATATATGTTGACCACATGAGCAGAGAAATAGGATTAGTGACACGGCTCTGATGAGTGGAGGAACACCAGGGCTCTTCGTCTCGAGTCAAATTAGATAAAATGACATGGACACACACGGAGTGGTTTTTCTTTTTTTTTTCTTTTCTGAGATGGAGTCTCGCTGTGTTGCCCAGGCTGGAGTGCAGTGGCATGATCTCAGCTCGCTGCAAGCTCCGCCTCCTGGGTTCATGCCATTCTCCCGCCTCAGCCTCCCGAGTAGCTGGGACTATAGGTGCGCCCACCACCACGCCTGGCTAATCTTTTTCTATTTTCAGTAGAGACGGAGTTTCACCATGTTAACCAGGGTGGTCTCGATCTCCTGACCTCGTGATCCGCCTGCCTCAGCCTCCCAAAGTGCTGGGATTACAGGTGTGAGCCACCACGCCCGGCCTACACATGGAGTGGTTTCAAGGAGCAGAGAGTTTGATAGGCAAGAAAGAAAGGAGGAGCCAGAAGGAAGCAGCTCCCCTGTACAGAGATGGGGGGGCTCCAAAGCCGAGAAAGGAGACCCCAAGTGCAGCAGAAATCAGCCGGGTATATGAAGAGGCTGGAGAAGATGGTGTCTGATTTGCATAGGCCTCAGGGGAGTGGTTTGACCAGGCGTGTCATTCATGTAGCCCACGAAAAAACTGGCCCTCCCACCCTGCCCTTTTAATATGCAAATGCAGAACGCCATGATGTTCTACACACATGGGGATATATGGGGGCGGCCATGTTGCCAGGCACATGTAGGGGCAAGGGCAAGAGGACAACAGTGGGAATCGCCATGTTGGGTGGACCCACTTTCTAATGGCCTGCATTTGCATATCAAAGGTTGCCGGTGGGCTCTAAGAGCTGGGGCTTTCCTGCTAGACAAGAAATGTTTCTGGAGCTGCTTTAAGAGAGGAAAACTTTCCAAGGACCCCTTTTCCTATCTGCCTAAAATAATTTCTTAATAACTCCTACCACATTAGGATGCACGTCTAGTTGATGAAGGGAGGGGAGACACAGGTGAGGGACAGGCAGGCAGCTGCAGGAAGAAGAAAAAGAGACTTGCCCCAGAGGTGTGAGTACTCCCCAAGCTGACATCTGTTCTGATCTGAAAGTTAATTATGATATTTGGACGTTTTATTTTTGATCCTACTTAATAATTACAACAGAACCCAAAGTGTGAGATAACACTGAATCATTAAATGGGATTTAATTATTCTCCCAACTCTCAGGAATTAAGGGACTTCGGAGGAAATGCATGTTTTCACATAACAAAGCACGTGTTCCCCTCCTAATTCCTCCAATCTCTCAAGGCAGAAGGCAAAGGGCCAAGATGGCAGCACATGTAGCACAGTGGCTACAGGTATCCTATCTGTGCAAAGGGTCTAGGTGTTCCACTGGGTTTGGAGTATTCCCAGCAGTCAGGGTGGTAGATGTGTTCATTCAGCCATTCATTCACTCAACAGAAATTCATGGAGTGCCTACTGCTATGTGCCAGGCATTGCTCGTTCTAGGCCTTAGGGAGACAAGGTGGGCAAGGCAGACAAAATCCCCCCTCAAATGCTGATTACACTCTAGTCGTGGAGACTAGACTAATAAACAAGTGGAATATTGGACAATGAGAAGTGCTATGCAGAGGATTTCAATAAGGTGTTGTGTCGAGAGGGGCTGGCTAGATGGCCACTTCAGACCACATGGCCCAAGACAGGCTCATTTGGGAGGTGACAGGTAAATGGAGGTCTGAATGAAAAGAAAGAGCCAGCGCTCCTAAAGCAAGCTCAGGGGCAGCAAATGCAATGATCCTAAGGTGGGAATGAGGGACAGAGAGTAAGAGGGGGTGGGATGAGTGAGGGGTAAGCAGGACCCCCTGCATAGGAGCAGGCAGCAGAAGAGCCTTGCAGCTCAGATAAGGAATTGGGTTTAATTTTAAGGGAAAAGGGAAACTGCTGGAGAGTTTTAAGGGGTGGGTGGAGTCATACACTGATTTTTTACTTTAAAATATCACTCTGGGCCGGGCGCGGTGGCTTACACCTGTGATCTCAGCACTTTGGGAGGCCGAAGCGGGCAAATCACGAGGTCAAGAGATCGAGACCATCCTGGCCAACATGGTGAAACCCCGTCTCTACTAAAAATACAAAAATTAGCTGGGCATGGTGACACGTGCCTGTAGTCCCAGCTACTCAGGAGGCTGAGGCAGGAGAATCGCTTGAACCCGGGAGGCAGAGGTTGCAGTGAGCCAAGATCCCACCACTGCACTCCAGCCTGGCAACAGAATGAGACTCCACCTCAAAAAAAAAAAAAAAAAATTACTCTGGCTACAGTGTCGAGAGTGGGACAGAAGCTGGAGCTGGGAAAACAGAGAGGAGACCTCTGCAGCTGAGACGATGTTGGTGTCAACAGCTATCTACCCTGCTGCAAAAAATTACCCTTTATCTCCTCGTAATGGCCAAATCCCCAGTCGCCCCTCATTTTTTACAGTACTCTGCAGCTTAGAAGGTGCTTTTGCTTTATATGACATTTGATTTTGATGCTTATAATAAACCGGAGAGACAGACACTATCATCCCCGTCTCAAGGGCTCAGAGAGATTGAGTGACCTGTCCCAAGAAATGCAGCCAGTGAGTGGCAGAGCCAGAGACTGGAAGAATATCAGTCCCTGATCTGAGAGACAGCTAAAAAATAAAAAAAGCTTTGGGAGACAGTGTGATGTCTAGACCTGCACTGCCCAGTAGCAAGTTTTTCTGGACAAAAGGAGAGAACTTTTACAGCCTCAGATCTTTGTGCCTACACTTTTTAAAGAAGTCCGCAGTACAAACTAGACACTGAATCTAACAAGGTGCTCCATGCTCAGGACATTTCTGGAGCCAAGGTGCAGAGGCAGAATGGACACAGGCTTTGTAGTCAAAGATCCTCAGAGAGGATTCCAAGTCAGTCACCTCCCACCTGGACCCTCTGTCTCCTCAACAACAAGGTAAGTTAACCTGGCTTTGAGGATGTCTACAGGGCCTGAGGCACCTTCTTTGAATCTTCTCTGTTGGGGACATCTTTATCCTTAAGATTACTTTGAATTTTTTTTAAACATTCCAGAGCCACTGGGAGTAAGGGAATACATGGGTGCGGACAGAGGGGATGCTATTTGAAATCCAAAACATTTGTGCCATTTGCAACTCAAAGCCTGGCTGGCTGAGCCGCTCCTGGCTCCTCGCGCCTCTTCTTCGCAGGCATCCCACTGCTCCAGCCATTTGGTCCTCGGCCCAGGCAATACCCCCACCTAGTGGCTACTTTCTCCTCTCTCTCCAGGACTGGCGAAGAGTCAGGTTGACAATGAGACTTCTTATCGGGCAAACAAATCACCTGGCGGTCTTGTTAAAAAGCCGATGGGGATGGGGCCTGAGATTCTGCATTTCCAAGGAGCTCCCAGCAAATCCTGCTACTGTATATCCTCAGACCCCACTTTGAGGGGTGAGGAAAATGGAATTTCTGAGCTGTGCTGACCAGTTGCCAATTTACAAGGGCTCATCTACGCTGCTTTTGTGTGGTCAGTGGTTCCAGTGTGCCCAGCTTCCCCTTGATCTAACCCAAAGAAATAGAGTCAGAATGGGTAAAACATGAGGAAAAGCTTTCAGTATTACCAAAAAATTGCATATAGGAACAGTATCTGCACAAGCTACTAGACACAGGGCCAGGTACTCAGGATGCAAAGGACAAGGTGCTCCAGGTGGTTGGTGGTCGTGGAGAACCGTGAAAGTTGATTCCTGCACACGCTTAAGAACAGCGACTATTTCCAGAAAACCCAGTAGGAGGCAGTAGAGGGATGGTGGGGCAGAACAACTCTGGGGTCAGCATTCAAAGACAAAAATTCTCATCCTGGTTGTGCCATTACTGGGTTGCATGACCTCAAGTAAATGAATCCTCCTCTCTGGTCCTCAATTGTTAATAAATAAATAAATAAACAGGGAGGAGGGGTTGGGGTGCTGGCTGACATCATCTCCAAGGCATTTTCCAGTAATAAGATTTCAAAATTCTCAAGAGGCAGGCTGCGGACATAGTGGTTAGGCACACAGACAGCTGGACTGCCTGGGTTTGCAGCTGGTCTCTACCACTCGCTAGCTCTGTGACCTTGGCCAAGTTACTTAACCTCTCTGTGCCTCAGTTTCCTGATCTGTTAAAAAGAAGAAGAGTCCCTACTTTATAAGGCTCTTAGAAAGACTACGTGAATTGATGTGTAAAATATGTAAAACACTACCTGGTCCTCCTAAGTATATAACGTGAGGTGCTCTTAAGTCCTTATCAGTCCTTTAAAAACCTCATTAAGCCATGCCGACTGAGAGGAATTCTAAAATGGTGACATGACGATTCTAGATTTTGGAATACTTTGAAAGCGAGGTAGTTTTAAAGTGCCCAGCATACATCCTTTCCTTGTCCCATTTTTCTGGCAACAGAGCGGCTTTTCAGGAAAATCCCATCCATCCATGCCAGCCTGAACAATACCCTACACACACACACACACACACACACACACACACACACACACACACTGGCAACAGAGCGGCTTTTCAGGAAAATCCCATCCATCCATGCCAGCCTGAACAATACCCTACACACACACACACACACACACACACACACACACACACACACACACACTCTCTCTCTCTCTCTCTTACTTTTCAAGGAATAGCCGTGTGACCAAGTTTTGGCCAATCAGAGCTCTCCGTACCCCAGGTTCAGTGATTGGTTCAGGAGTGGGCACATGACCCAGCCCAGGCCAATCAAAGGAATCTCTGGGGCTTTTGCTAAAAACACTAGAAAACGGAGATATTCTTTTCTCTTTTCTCTGGGATCAGTAACTATGCAAAACATATCATTGTGGAGCTACCTGGTCATCCTAGCTGCTACAGGAAGAGTGCCTGCCTGAGAATGGGATCAATACAGAAGAAAGATTAGCCAAAGGGTGGAAAGAGACGGAGTTCCGAGGGCATGATTTGACTTCCTGGATCCAGGCACACCAGACTCCAGACACCCAAACTTCTGAGTTATACAGCCCAGTCATTTCTTTTTTATTTATTGAGCTGGGTTTCTCTCACCTGAAACTTGACTAAAGAGTCCTAAGGTAGGTATTATGGAATGTCTGATCCAAACAAGGTTACACAGATGGCAGAACTTTATTGAACCTAGTGTATGCAGCTTTAAAGGCCATGCTTTCTACATTAATCCACATTGCCTTCTGTGAACCACCCACTCCCCTCCCTCAGGAGGAATTACTTGAAAACAATGACGTTGGATGTTGATTGGTGGTCCACAAAGGGTGGTTCCTGGTTCTGCAACAGCAGCATTGCCTGGAAACTTGTTAGAAGTGCAAATACCAGGCCCCAGCCCAGATCTACGGGGTCAGAAGCACTGAGGGTGGGGCCCATAAGTCTTTTTAACAAGCACTTCAGGGCATTCTGATGTACACTCAAGAATGAGCACCTCTGCCAGAAATGAACAAATCAACTTCATTTTGGTTTAATTATTTTCTGGGCACCGTTTGCCAGAGCTGGGGGAGTAGAGATAAGCCAGATGAGGCTCTTGACCTCAAGGACTCCGAGTCTGGTGGTGATAGCCAGATCAGCACTCCACATCCAGCCAGCCATCTCTTAGTTGGGGGCATTTGCAACTAGCATCCATGTTTTCCTGGCAATGCCAAACTTTCAAACTTCCAGCCATTCATACTCATATCCTCTGCCTCCACTTTCTCATCTGAAAGGCTCCTCCTCATGCTTCAATACCCAGCTTCAATATCCCCCTCCCTGAGGCCTCCCAGCAGAATTAATTGCCCCTCACCTGAGAAGGGTCCTGCAGCAGGGCCTTCCATCCTTGCTCAGGACGTAATCACATTGCAATCACATTGCATTAGCAGTGCTTGTTGGAAAAGTAGTGTCTCCAACCCAGCTGTAAGTAATTTGAAGGTGAGCACTCTGTTCCCTTCATCTTCTATCCAGAGCCCAGCACAGGGCCTGGCACACAGTAGAAGCTAATAAATGCTTGATGAATGAATTAATACTTAAAGGCAGCTCTGAAGGATAGCAAAGGCTCACGTGCACAGCCTGAGAGAGTACAGAGTTGACCTGAGTGGGGACCCAGATCCAGCAGCATCAGCACCCACACACCCAGGAGCCTGTCAGCAAGGCACAGTTCAGGACCCACCCCAGACTTACTGAATCAGAGGCTGCTTTCACACAAGATGGCCAAGGGACCTCTTTGCATTTTAAAGTTTGAGAAATTCTGCCAAGGGCAAACTTACCCTTCTGCATTCATAATTGAAGGGATTATAAACAAAGTTGATGTCATCCACACAGAACACCTATAGAGGCTCTGTCAGTTGAAGCCATTTTCTTCTCCCCTTGGGAGAGCTCCCAACTTGACATGTTCTGGAAAACTGAGGGGCCCAGGGAGAGCCCTTTATTTTCTCTTACCCAGGACATAGCTGGTGGGTAGCATTCTGAGAAGACGGCAGACAGCACTTCCTCCCTCAGCCAAACCCTTGGCATTGCAAAGGCTTCCAAGAAAGATACAGAGAGTTTAGTTCTGGTCGAAAAGTCCCCACTTATCTAAGAATGCAATCAATAATGGCAAGGGGAAATCAATGGGGCCAGGAGATCTATCTCTCTGTGTATTTATGGAGCGTGGATCCCTGGTTGGCAGGAGGCTTCGGCAGACCAGATGGAGCCTGTGCCTGCTTCCCGGAGATCCTGATTCCCTTTCCAAGAATTATGGAGTGTCCTTTGTCTCTGCTCGATAACACCCTGGAGTTACAGAGCCATTTAGAAATGAATTGGCTCATTTTTCTCCCTTCCCCTTGCTTATAGTGACAGGTCACCCGGGCCAAAGAGTTATTAAAGGGACAGATAGGACACTTTGCACATTCCGTCTGGCTCCACCAGCCTTCCTGTCAGCGGCAGGCCCCAAAGCTCTAACTCCTTGTCAAAGAAATAACATTCGAGGAAAAAAAAAACAACAGGTAAAAAACTTGAGGCAAGGGTATTTTATTTTATTCCAAGTACTTTTTCCATTTTTTTCCATAGAATTTCCAATTATCTCTCACCTCTAAATATGCCATTGCTAAAAGTCTCATGAGCAAACTGAATGCATGGTTTATTTTTCCCAAAGTTAGCAAAACCATCTCCTAAAATTAAATTTACCTCCAGAGGAGGATTTAGACAAGTCACTTAACCTCTCTGGTCTGTTTCCCCATCTATGAGGATGACAATCCCAGCTGCTAAAGTCACTTCAAGGAAAGTGCTTCATACGGTGCGTGAAGCCTAGGAGATACTCAATAGTTATTCATTCATATTTATCTACAAAGTATTATTATTAGAATATTAATTGCTATTTCCTGAGCTCTTACATATCTCAGGCTCTGTATGAAGTTGTCAGAACTTTTCACAGGCAGTGGCTTGAGCAGAGGTTGAAGCTTTGGCCCTGCCATTTACTAGCTGGGGATGGGGTGTTGGGCCATCATGGGAAAATCAACATCCCTCTAGGCTTGGACCCAGGGCGCCTGCAAGGTGGGGGTGGAGATCCTGCATGAAGCCGCACTGAGATGAGGGTGCCTAATGTAGCCTCAGCTCCACTCTGTGCAGCAACAATTCTATGAAGCCCTCCAGAGGGATCTGAGCTCCTCCTGGAAGCCTCTGCTAAGGATTCTGAGGTGATGTTGTGTATCTCAGTCCCTGGGGATGGAGCTTTTGGGGTAGTTGGTAATACTAATAAATTCAGAGCTATATTTAGTTCCGGTCTTTAATGTTCTCTACAGCTCTCTACAGCTCACATGACTGTCTCCCTGTCCATGGCTGTGTTACGGCTCACTAGAAGGCAGCTTTTCCAAACTTATCAAATGGGTCATGTCCAGCTCATCTCTGTAAGAATGGAAAGCCTCCTGAGAATGTGCTCTATGACCTTCCACTCACCCCTAGATTAGGATATGTGGGATGCCCATAAGCCCCCAAATCCAAAATACTCTACTCTTGCAGAGTAAAAACCAAACAAACAAACAAACAAACAAAAAAAAACACCAGCTGGGCGCAGTGGCTCACACCTGTAATCCCAGCACTTTGGGAGGCTGAGGCAGGTGGGTCACGAGGTCAGGAGTTCGAGAGCAGCCTGGCCAATATGGTGAAACCCCGTCTCTACTAAGGATACAAAAATTAGCTGGGCGTGGTGGTGCACACCTGTAGTCCCAGCTACTCGGGAGGCTGAAGCAGGAGAATCACTTTCCCCCGGGAGGTGGAGGTTGGAGTGAGCCGAGATTGCGTCATTGCACTCCAGCCTGGGCGACAGGGCGAGACTGTCTCAAAAAAAAAAAACCTATATTCTGTAGCAGACTGGCTAACCGATTCTGTAACAGAACAATTCTTCCTCCTTCCAAGTATCCATATCCTTTGCCAGGTAACTGCCCCACACCCTTGACTCTGGGCTCTGTGACGGGGCTTTGTCCAGAAGCATGAGAACGCACCTGCTCATTTTGTTCTCACGCTTCCATTTGCTGTCATGAGAAGGACATGCCTGAGACAGCCCGCCATTCATGACAGCATAGATTTTTCTATTTATTACAACCACTTCCTGGCAGATGGCAACAAAGTTTCTAATTTTCTCAAAGGTGGGTTAGCAGATGTCCTAATACCATTCTTCCCCACATCCCAGTATTGACTTCACTTCCTGTGTATTTCTCAAAGCAGTCCCCCTTCTCTGCTTGCATGGTTTGTCTTTTTAATCCCTGTCTAGCAGCAAGGTTTGTGCTTTCTTTTTTTCTTTTTCTTTTTTTGAGATGGAATCTCACTCTATCGCCCAGGCTGGAGTGCAATGGCGCAATCTCGGCTCACTACAACCTCCGCTTCCCAGGTTCAAGTGATTCTCCTGCCTCAGCCTACTGAGTAGCTGGGATTACAGGCATGTGCCACCATGCTTGGCTGTTTTTTGTATTTTTAGTTGAGACAGGGTTTCGCCAAGTTGACCAGGCTGGTCTCGAACTCCTGACCTCAAGTGATCCGCCTGCCTCAGTCTCCCAAAGTGCTGGGATTACAGGTGTGAAAAACTGCACCCAGTGCTTTGTGCTTTATAAATATGTTCTGAATGAATGAAGGAAGCATCAGCAATAGAGACATTAGCAGAAAATAGTAAGATAAGAATATGAGAAAATATTAAATATGTTTTTGTTGTTGTTTTAGAAAGTGTCTGACTCTGTCACCCAGGCTGGAGTGCAGTGGCACGATCTTGGTTCACTGCAACCTCCACCTCCCAGGTTCAAGCGATTCTCATGCCTCACCCTCCCAAATAGCCGGGATTACAAGCACGTGCCACCACACCAGGGTAATTTTTTGTTTTTGTTTTTGAGACGGAGTTTCGCTCTGTTGCCCAGGCTGGAGTGCAGTGGCGCGATCTCAGCTCACTGCAACCTCCGCCTCCCGGGTTCAAGCGATTTTCCTGCCTCAGTCTCCCGAGTAGCTAGGACTACAGGCGCGTGCCACCACGCCCAGCTAATTTTTTATATTTTTAGTAGACATAGGGTTTCACCATGTTGGCCAGGCTGGTCTCAAATTCCTGACCTCAAGTGATCCGCCCACCTTGCCCTCCCAAAGTGCTAGGATTACAGGCATGAGCCACCACACCTGGCCTAAATATGTTTTTAAATTTGGGACTGCCTGTCCATGAGAAAGGTAGGGAGAAGAGAATTCACCTGGCACCCCAAGGCAGTAGCAAGGGGAGAGGAGAGAGAACTAGAAAGAAGACTTACACCTTTGGATAAGGAGCTGCAAGTGGGAGAGTTAAGGGGAGCCTCCAGGGGAAGTGCTGCAAAGAGAATTCTTTGCTGTGCAGGGGCCTGCACGAGGGCCTTGGATCGGGGTCCTGTGGGGCGAGGGTGGGCTGGGTGGAAAGGTGGGTAAGCAGGCCTGACCCTGAGGCCAGGGCAGGTAAAGTATGGTTGCTGCTCCTCTGCCTGCATTGCCAGAGAGCTGCATGGTTAAGATGCAACATTCAGCACCGTCAGGAAGCTGGGCTCCAAAGACTCCCAGAGCCCTTTCCTTCCCCTACACCTTCTACTCCCACAGGGGTAAAGAGCAGGCCATTCTGCCTCCTAAGCCTCCATGGATGGGGGACTAAGTGGAGTTGCCTAGGCCTTCCCTTTTCTGAAACAAGAGCATCATAAAGTTTCTACAGCCATCCCTGTCCCTGACTGCCCATAGCGCTCGTCCTGGGCCATCTCCAGTCCCATTCTGTGCCCACGTTGTGCCCAGCTCCTGACTCTCCCAGGTCCAGGGAGGACAGTGCTGTCTCCATTTCTGCTTTGGTGGAGCTGTAACCACAACATGCCATGCTGCTAAGAACATGTTTCTATGGGGCTGTTTCCACGTGTGCCATCTCCTTAGTCTACTGCCTTCTCCAGGATATAACTCTCTATTTCCTCAGTCCTCACTTTGTGAAGTATGGCTTCATCACCAAGCATCTGTGAGATCCCACATGACTCCTCTGCCTTCTCTGGCCTTTTTTCCCCCACACTGAAATTACCGGATCTGGACCGGGTGATGGACAATGTCCAGGATCTGTTGATCTGTTTCCCTTCCAAGAGCTGTGAGTCCATTAAAAAGATTCCTACAGCCCAGAATTTTCAAAGGGGGTGGGAGAAGGAAGGAAAGATTCTCCTTTCTCTGCTGAACCACTAAAGGATCATTAAGCACTCAAAAGTCTAAGGCAACACAAAAATGCTTAATAATTGCCAGGGATTATTTATGAGGAATGGAAGAGAGGAAAGAAATGGGGAAATGAATGATCTCAAGCTGGCAAAGTGGTTTTGCTCCCAGAGGACCAAGAAAGATGCTTAAAATTCAACTCCTTTTGAAGACAAAATGAAGGATTCAGCGAGCCAGGGGTTGCAGGTCAGGGGCTAACTCTACGGAGAAGGATGTGGGCCATTACCAGAGGAAACTGGCAGGGTTGGGAGTTAACCTGAATGACACCAGCTCCCTGCCCCTATTTGAAAAGAAGCTTTGAACAAAAAGAACAGGTTTGCCACAAGTATTACAGAACCAGGATTAATATTATTATATTCAAATATATCATACAAATAGGTAAGAAGAAAAAAACATTAACCCCAGTAGATAAATGAGCGAAGAACATAAACAGACTGTTCATAAAGGAAAAAATAAGTCACTTTTCTCTTAATAAACAAAATACTGCAAACCCTCATTAACAAAGACATGTACCTAAAAATGACAATTAGACACAAATTTTTACCCATAACATAAACAGAGTTGTTTTCTCTTAAGGAGTGTTCATTAGAACATGTCAAAAGCTGAGATAATATTGTCTTAGTTTCCTTGGGCTGCAATAGCAAAATACCATCAACTAGGTGGTTTGTAAATAACAGAAATTTATTTGTTACGGTTCTAGAGGCTGGAAGTCCAAGATCAAGGTACTAGACGATTCAGTAATGCTGAGGACCCATTTCCCCAGAGACGGTGACTTCTCACTGTGTCCTCACACAGTGGAAAAGGCAAGAGGCCTCCCTCGTGTTTCTTTTATAAGGGCACCAATCTTTTTACAAGAGTCCCACCCTCATGACCTAGGGGTCATGAGGCCCCACCTCCTAATACCACCACCTTGAGGGTTATGATTTCAACATATAAATTTTGGGAGGACACAAATATTCAGACCACAGCAGATTCACTTGCTGATAAGCAGGTAAATGTGTCCAATTTTCTTTGAAATATGTAACAATAGTCATAAAAAGTTCATATCCTTTGGCCCTATAATTTCATCCCTAGAAATTTAACCCAAGAAAATAATTAAAGATATGAACACAGTACCTATACAGGAATAGTCATCACAGGATTAATTACAGTAGAGAAATATTGGAAGCAACCCGGTTGTCAAACAAGGAAATGGCTAAGTGAAGGTATGTTAACATAATGAAATACATGCAGGCGTTAGAAGTCATGTTTTCAAAAAACACTTCAATGGCATGAAGAATTTCTTCTAATATGATGTTGACTGAAAATACAAGCCGGGAAAACTGAATATGTCATAATATCCGTAGGCAAAAACGTGTACTTTTGGAATATATAAGCATGGGCATAGAAAAGAAGGTAGAAGAGTCTGGGCGCGGTGGCTCACGTCTGTAATCCCAGCACTTTGGGAGGCCGAGGAGGGCGGATCACAAGGTCTGGAAATCGAGACCATCCTGGCTGGTGGAAACTCCGTCTCCATTAAAAATACAAAAAATTAGCCAGCTGTGGTGGCAGACACCTGTAGTCCCAGCTACTCGGGAGGCTGAGGGAGGAGAATCACTTGAACCCAGGAGGCGGAGGTTGCAGTGAGCCGAGATCGTGCCACTGCACTCAAGCCTGGTGACAGAGCGAGACTCCATATCAAAAAAAAAAAAAAAAGTGGAAGGAAATACATCAAAATGCTAACAGTCATCAGGACTCGGGAAAACAGAGCAGAAAAACAACCAGAAAAAAGTCTCATGGTGGCCAACATCCACCAGGAAAACAAAGAAACAGGGAAGCCTATTCAGAATAGAGAGGAAGACCACCCTTGGGAGGAGGAAAAGACCGCCTCCTACAGGAAAGACCTCCAGCCTACAGGAAAGAATAAACAGAAACAGGCTCGCCAACTTGCCCCTAATTTTCTTTGTTTCTTTTAAGTTCTGAGATACATATGCAGAACGTGCAGCTTTGTTACATAGGTATACATGTGCCATGGTGGTTTGCTGCACCTTTCAACCCGTCATCTAGGTTTTGTTGTTGTTGTCGTTGTTGTTTTGTTTGTTTGAGATGGAGTCTCGCTCTGTCGCCCAGGCTGGAGTACAGTGGCACGATCTCAGCTCACTGCAAGCTCCGCCTGCCGTGTTCACGCCATTCTCCTGCCTCAGCCTCCCGAGTAGCTGGGACTACCGGCACTCGCCACCACGCCCGGCTAATTTTGTTTTTGTATTTTTAGTAGAGACGGGGTTTCACTGTGTTAGCCAGAATGGTCTCGATCTCCTGACCTCGTCATCCACCCGCCTCAGACTCCCAAAGTGCTGGGATTACAGGCATGAGCCACCACGCCTGGCCCATCTAGGTTTTAAGCCACGCATGCATTAGGTATTTCTCCTAATGATATCCCTCCCCTTTCCCTCCACGTCTCTGACAGGCCCCAGTATGTGATGTTCCCCTCCCTGTGTCGATGTGTTCTCATTGCTCCACTCCCACTTATGGGTGAGAACATGCAGTGGTTGGTTTTCTGTTCCCGTGTTAGTTTGCTGAGAATGATGGTGTCCAGCTTCATCCACGTCCCTGCAAAGGACATGAACTCATTCTTTTTTATTGGCCCCTAATTTTCAATGGGCCATACCCAATAGGCAGGTCAATGATGGGATGAATAGAGGTGGAGATGATATGGAAATGTTCATGGAGGAGATGAGAGGAATCAGGAGAGAATAAGGAGCTACAATTGAGGAATTGTCTGTGTATCCTTATGGGAAGCTGTGTAATCCCCATGACCATCATGATGAATTTTGCCAATGCCTGGACTCCTGCCATTTTCCATGAGGTTAATATTGTGATTCCCATTGTTTTCTTTTTCCTTGCATTTTCCTAATATGTCTTTACTCATTTGCTGTGAACCTTATGTTATTTCCATGTGTCAGGTGAGTCTTGTGCTTCCAGCTTCTAGCTT
This sequence comes from Homo sapiens, assembly GCF_000001405.40. Taxonomy (NCBI): domain Eukaryota; kingdom Metazoa; phylum Chordata; class Mammalia; order Primates; family Hominidae; genus Homo; species Homo sapiens. The sequence goes on from NC_000022.11 coordinate 35,165,499, forward strand.
GATGTTTGCAGATGATCGATAAATGTCAATAAATAAAGCCTTTGTACCCAGTCTGTTTCTGTCATCAGTAGAACTTTGCTCATTTGCATGGAAAAAATGTAAAGTTAATAGAGCAATTAAAAAGCAGTCTATACATTTATTATTGTCTCATTTTTAAGAATGTATACTTATGGAGGGCAGTTCCAAGATGGCCAAATAGGAACAGCTCCAGTCTACAGCTCCCAGCGTGAGCAACGCAGAAGATGGGTGAGTTCTGCATTTCCAACTGAGGCACTAGGTTCATCTCACTGGGGCTTGTCAGACAGCGAGTACAGGACAGTGGGTGCAGCCCACCAAGCGTGAGCCAAAGCAGGGTGAGGCGTCACCTCACCCAGGAAGCAAAAGGGGTCAGGGAATTCCCTTTCCTAGCCAAGGGAAGCTGTGACAGACGGCACCTGGAAAATCGGGTCACTCCCACCCTAATACTGTGCTTTTCCAATGGTCCTAGCAAACGGCACACCAGGAGATTATATCCCACGCATGGCTCAGAGGGTCCCACACCCACAGAGCCTCACTCATTGCTAGCACAGCAGTCTGATATCGAACTGCAAGGCGGCAGCAAGGCTGGGGAGGGGCGCCTGCCATTGCTGAGGCTTGAGTAGGTAAACAAAGTGCCGGGGAAGCTCGAACTGGGTGGAGCCCACCGTAGCTCAAGGAGGCCTGCCTGCCTCTGCAGACTTCACCTCTGGGGGCAGGGCATAGCCGAACAAAAGGCAGCAGAAACCTCTGCAGTCTTAAATGTCCCTGTCTGACAAATTTGAAGAGAGTAGTCGTTCTCCCAGCACAGAGTCTGAGATCTGAGAACAGACAGACTGCCTCCCAAGTGGGTCCCTGACCCTCGAGTAGCCTAACTAGGAGGCACCCCCCAGTAGGGGCAGACTGACACCTCACATGGCCGGGTACCCCTCTGAGACGAAGCTTCCAGAGGAATGATCAGGCAGCAACACTTGCTGTTCAGCAATATTCGCTGTTCTGCGGCCTCCGCTGCTGATACCCAGGCAAACAGTGTCTGGAGTGGACCTCCAGGAAACTCCAACAGACCTGCAGCTGAGGGTCCTGACTGTTAGAAGGAAAACTAACGAACAGAAAGGACATCCACACCAAAACCCCAATTGTACGTCACCATCATCAAAGACCAAAGGTAGACAAAACCACAAAGATGGGGAAAAAAACAGAGCAGAATAGCTGAAAATTCTAAAAATCAGAGCGCCTCTCCCCCTCCAAAGGAACGCAGCTCCTCACCAGCAATGGAACAAAGCTGGACGGAGAATGACTTTGTTGAGTTGAGAGAAGAAGGCTTCAGACGATCAAACTTCTCCAAGCTAAAGGCGGAAGTTCGAACCCATCGCAAAGAAGCTAAAAACCTTGAAAAAAGATTAGACAAATGGCTAACTAGAATAACCAGTGTAAAGAACTCCTTAAATGACCTGATGGAGCTGAAAACCATGGCAGGAGAACTATAAGACGAATGCACTAGCTTCAGTAGCCAATTCAATCAACTGAAGAAAGGGTATCAGCGGTGGAAGATCAAATGAATGAAATGAAGTGAGAAGAGAAGTTTAGAGAAAAAAGAGTAAAAAGAAATGAACAAAGCCTCCAAGAAATATGGGACTATGTGAAAAGGCCAAATCTACGTCTGATTGGTGCACCTGAAAGTGACGGGGAGAATGGAACCAAGTTGGAAAACACTCTGCAGGATATTATCCAGGAGAACTTCCCCAACCTAGCAAGGCAGGCCAACATTAAAATTCAGGAAATACAGAGAATGCCACAAAGATATTCCTTGAGAAGAGCAACTCCAAGACACATAATTGTCAGATTCACCAAAGTTGAAATGAAGGAAAAAATGTTAAGGGCAGCCAGAGAGAAAGGTCGGGTTACCCACAAAGGGAAGCCCATCAGACTAACAGTGGATCTCTCAGCAGAAACTCTACAAGCCAGAAGAGAGTGGGGGCCAATATTCAACATTCTTAAAGAAAATAATTTTCAACCCAGAATTTCATATCCAGCCAAATTAAGCTTCATAAGTGAAGGAGAAATAAAATCCTTTAAAGACAAGCAAATGCTGAGAGATTTTGTCACTACCAGGCCTGCCTACAAGAGCTCCTGGAGGAAGCACTAAACATGGAAAGGAACAACTGGTACCAGCCACTGCAAAAACATGCCAAATTGTAAAGACCATCGAGGCTAGGAAGAAATTGCATCAACTAATGAGCAAAATAACCAACTAACATCATAATGACAGGATCAAATTCACACATAACAATATTAACCTTAAATGTAAATGGGCTAAATGCTCCAATTAAAAGACACAGACTGGAAAATTGGATAAAGTGTCAAGGCCCATCAGTATGCTGTATTCAGGAGACCCATTTCAAGTGCAGAGACACACATAGGTTCAAAATAAAGGGATGGAGGAAGATCTACCAAGCAAATGGAAAACAAAAAAAGGTAGGGGTTGCAATCCTAGTCTCTGATAAAACAGACTTTAAACCATCAAAGATCAGAAGAGACAAAGAAGGTCATTACATAATGGTAAAGGGATCAATTTAACAAGAAGAACTAACTATCCTAAATATATATGCACCCAATACAGGAGCACCCAGATTCATAAAGCAAGTCCTTAGAGACCTACAAAGAGACTTAAGACTCCCACGCAATAATAATGGGAGACTTTAACACCCCACTGTCAACATTAGACAGATCAATGAGACAGAAAGTTAACAAGGATGTCCAGGAATTGAACTCAGCTCTGCACCAAGCGGACCTAATAGACATCTACAGAACTCTCCACCCCAAATTAACAGAACATACATTCTTCTCAGCACCACATCGCACTTATTCCAATATTGACCACATAGTTGGAAGTAAAGCACTTCTCAGCAAATGTAAAAGAACAGAAATTATAACAAACTGTCTCTCAGACCACAGTGCAATCAAACTAGAACTCAGGATTAAGAAACTCACTCAAAACTGCTCAACTCATGGAAACTGAACAACCTGCTCCTAAATGACTACTGGGTACATAACGAAATGAAGGCAGAAATAAAGATGTTCTTTGAAACCAATGAGAACAAAGACACAACATACCAGAATCTCTGGGATACATTTAAAGCAGTGTATAGAGGGAAATTTATAGCACTAAATGCCCACAAGAGAAAGAAGGAAAGATCTAAAATTGACACCGTAACATCACAATTAAAAGAACTAGAGAAGCAAGAGCAAACACAGTCAAAAGCTAGCAGAAGGCAAGAAATAACTAAGATCAAAGCAGAACTGAAGGAGATAGACACACAAAAAACCCTTCAAAAAATCAATGAATCCAGGAGCTGGTTTTTTGAAAAGATCAACAAAATTGATAGACTGCTAGCAAGACTAATAAAGAAGAAAAGAGAGAAGAATCAAATAGACGCAATAAAAAATGATAAAGGGGATATCACCACCAATCCCACAGAAGTCCAAACTACCATCAGAGAATACTACAAACACCTCTACACAAATAAACTAGAAAATCTAGAAGAAATGGATAAATTCCTTGACACATACACCCTCCCAAGACTAAACCAGAAAGAAGTTGAATCTCTGAATAGACCAATAACAGGCTTTGAAATTGAGGCAATAATTAATAGCCTACCAACCAAAAAAAGTCCAGGACCAGACGGATTCACAGCCAAATTCTACCAGAGGTACAGGAGGAGCTGGTACCATTCCTTCTGAAACTATTCCAATCAATAGAAAAAGAGGGAATCCTCCCTAACTCATTTTATGAGGCCAGCATCATCCTGATACCAAAGCCTGGCAGAGACCCAACAAAAAAAGAGAATTTTAGACCAATATCCCTGATGAACATCAATGCAAAAATCCTTAATAAAATACGCAAACTGAATCCAGCAGCACAAAAAGCTTATCCACCATGATCAAGTGGGCTTCATCCCTGGGACGCAAGGCTGGTTCAACATACGCAAATCAATAAATGTAATCCAGCATATAAACAGAACCAAAGACAAAAACCACATGATTATCTCAATAGATGCAGAAAAGGCCTTTGACAAAATTCAACAGCCCTTCATGCTAAAAACTCTCAATAAATTAGGTATTGATGGGATGTATCTCAAAATAATAAGAGCTATTTATGACAGACCCACAGCCAATATCATACTGAATGGGCAAAAACTGGAAGCATTCCCTTTGAAAACTGGCATAAGACAGGGATGCCCTCTCTCACCACTCCTATTCAACATAGCGTTGGAAGTTCTGGCCAGGGCAATCAGGCAGGAGAAAGAAATAAAGGGTATTCAATTGGGAAAAGAGGAAGTCAAATTGTCCCTGTTTGCAGATGACATGATTTTATATTTAGAAAACCCCATCGTCTCAGCCCAAAATCTTCTTAAGCTGATAAGCAACTTCAGCAAAGTCTCAGGATACAAAATCAATGTGCAAAAATCACAAGCATTCTTATACACCAATAACAGACAAACAGAGGGAAATTTGAGACCAGCCTGGCCAACATGGCAAAACCCTGTCTCTACTAAAAATACAAAAACTACCGGGGCATGGTGGCACACACCTGTAATTCCAGCTACTTGGGAAGCTGAGGCAGGAGAATCACTTGAACCCAGGAGGCGGAGGTTGCAGTGAGCCAAGATCATGCCACTGCACTCCAGCCTGAGCAACAGAGCAAGACTCCATGTCAAAAAAAAAAAAAAAAAAGCCTTCAGATGAAAGTTGAGATCCTACAGGAACAATTAGGCTGAGATAATATTTCCTTTTAAATTATATAATATAAGCCTTCTGCCCTTTCTGAATAGAACACTGTAAAATTATATATATATACATATATATATATATATATGTATATATATATGTATATATTAGCCATTTATTCCACAAACACAGGGCACATTTGTGTCCAACATTATGGTAGATTTTAAAGATATGGAGATAACTAAGTCAGAGACCCTGACCCCAAAGACTTTGCCATGGGGATTGGGGGAAGTACACTAGTAATTACAGTAGGATACAAATGGCACAACAGAAACATGCTGAAGGCGAGACTAACTCCTCAATGAGTGATGGGAAAGTTATTTGAATGGGTCTTCAAAGATGCATAGAGGTTAGCCAGATAGACAAAGAGAAGGCAGGACATTTCAGGTAGAAGGAATTGCATGTGTGTGGTAGGTAGATTGCCCCCCAAGCCCACCAAAGACATTCATGTCTTAATCCCCAGAACCTGCGAATATGTCACTTTAAGGTAATGGACTTCTCAGATGTGATTAAGGTTAAGGCAATTAGCCTGGATTTCCCAGGCGGGCCCAATCTAATCACATGAGTCCTTAAACTCAGAGACTCCCCTGGCTGTGGTCAGCGGGAGATGAGACTACATAAGAATGCCAGAGAGCTGGGATATTGCTGGCCTTGTAGATGGAGGGAGGGCTGAGGCATATGGCAGCCCCCTGGAGCTGGGGATGATAAGGAAACTGATCCTTCCCTAGAGCCTCCAAGAAGAAAAGCAGCCCCACCAACACTTTGATTTTCAGCTCAGTGAGACATGCTTCAGACTTCTAACTTACAGAAAGGTAACACCATTTGTGTTTTTTCAAGCCACTAGCCTTGTGGTGATTTGTTACAGCAGCAACGTACACTAATGCACCTGCAAAGGCATGGAGACGCAGACTGAATCACATTCCTTGGCCCTCTTGGCCCTTATCTCTGGCTTTTTCTGCAGACCAGGTTCAGCAGCACCTCCTCCAGGAAGCCTTCCAAAACTTGCCCAGACTAAGCAAACTCTTCTCTCCCATGTGCCTCCGCACACCTCTCCTACTGAGTGACTCACGTATGGAACACAGAGGACAATGGGGTTCTGCATCACAGACTGGTCACATGCTCATGAAACTCACCTCTTCCTCAGCCCACAGCCCATTGGTGTCTCGGTGGGTCCCTGTGCCTCGTTCTCACTGATGGAATCTGAGCAGAAGTGAGGGGTCACTTCCAGGACAGGGCAGTCAAGGGCAAAAGGGGCTCCTGCAGGCTTTTCTTCCCTCTCCTCCTCAGATGCTCTGTGTGAGCTACAGATGGAAGGAATCAAAGCCCTGAGTCAGTACTGGGAAGAGACCTGCCTAATAGGAGCCTCCACAGAGGTCTGCACATAAACGAGAAATCGGCGTTTATTGTCTTAATTCCTTGGATCTGGGCAATTTTATAGCAAGAGAAAGCTAAGCAACTTGGGCCAGGCACGGTGGCTCACATCTGTAATCCTAGCACTTTGGGAGGCTGAGGCGGGTGGATCACTTGAGGTCAGGAGTTCGAGACCAGCCTGGGCAACATGGTGAAACCTCATCTCTACTAAAAATACAAAACACTAGCAGGGCATGGTGGTGGGCACCTGTAATTCCAGCTACTCGGAAGGCTGAGGCAGGAGAATTGCTTGAATCCGGGAGGCAGAGGTTGCAGTGAGCCAAGATCGTGCCACTGCACTCCAGCCTGGGCAACAAGAGTGAAATTCCATCTCAAAACAAAGACCCTCACCCAAGATGTCTGCTGTTCCTGAGCTGATGCTTTCTGACCTCTGATGCCTGTGGGCTCCCTGCTTCTTTGTAGGTGCCTTGCTCTGCCTACCACCAACCGGAATGTGAGATTTTGCCCCCTCTTCAGTTTACACACACTTACATAAAATGCTGCTCACAGAAACACATTGTGAAGATTGGCAGGGGATCAGAGGGGTTCCCACTGCAGCAAGGCAAACAACCACAGGGAAGCAGCAGGGCCCCCTCCCACGGGAAATCCCCTGGCCCTTGTCCTCACCTGGTTCCAGTTTTCTTCCATGTTTCTGGTTCCTTTCTCTCCACCCTCCATTCTGTTTCAACTCCTACTCAGCAGGAAAATCAGTATCTCATCCAGGTGGCTACTCGTCTGAAATCCTGCACCTGCAAGATATCAGAGCCACCTTAAGCAGACATTAAGCAGACCAGACTCCTGAACGTACTAAATGACACTTACCTGTGGGATGTGGTGCACACCTGGCATCTGTCTCAGAGACTGGCCAGGCAAAGCCATGTGCTTCTCAACTGACTGCTCATTCCAATCCCCTGGGGAGCTTTCAAACGGCAGATGTCCCTGAAATTCTCATTTAATTGGTGAGAGGCGGGGCCCATCTCATGAGATGACTAGGATGTGAAGTCCAGCACGAGAGCCCTGGCAGAACCTCCACTTTGGGATGTGGGGGCTCAACACTGTGATCTCAGTACTGAAGCTTGAGCCCTACCAAGGCACTTTCCCAAATGAAGACCCTCTCTCCCTTAGGGGAGCCCCCATGCTGGCTGCTAAGTTTCTTTGTTTATCTCTTTACATCTGATTCTGTGCCATTCTCCCTCCCTGGGCTGTGCGCTGTCTGCTCCTGGCTGGGGGCTGGGTCTTATCCTTCTGGATGAAGCAGGTGCTCAGCGAATGTTTGGAGAGGGATGGAGTGGGTGGGAGTGAGGTAGTGGGAGAGGGATGGAACTGCAGGAAGGAAGCCCAGCCCAGAGGATGGAACCAAGGCGTCACTGGCCTGCTTTCAGAGACATTTCCCATTGCAGAAAGGGTCTGGGTCATAACCCAGTTAGACTAGCATTCTGCACCGCAGCTGAGTTGGAAATTATGATCCCCTGGCTTTACTGCCAGCCTGCTTCTCCTAGAGCACCATTTCTCAAATTCAGCTCTACTGACATTTTAGGTCAAATAATTCTTCATCAGCCTGGGAGAGATGTCCTGTACATTGCAGGAGGTTTGCAGCATCTCTGGCCCTACCCACTAGATAACCCAGTTGAAACAACTAAAAATTACTTCAGACATTGCCAAATGCCCCATAGGCAGCAGAATCACCCCAACTGAGAACCACTGTCCTGGAGGTTTAGGTCTTCTCAACTACAGCCCCCACCCCAGCCACGTCGAGGCTCCCATGAGCCCCTCACAGCAGTTTTGAGAACAGAATGAGCTTTATAGGGTAATGTACTTAGCACAGCACTGGCTAAGTACCGTGAAAGACTTAATACATGTCAGTTACTAGTAGTACAAACTCTGAGAGACAGACTACTTGCATGCATGGGGAAGAAAACCGAGGTTCAGAGTCACAAAGTGACATGCCCAAGGTCACACAGCTGGCATCCAAATTTAGACCTGTTTGACTTCAAAACTTTTGTCCTATTCATCTGAGACACTGTCTCTCTTCATCAGGCAATGGAAAGAGCGCATCTGCTCCCACACCTGTGAGCTGAACCCATCATGCAATCCTCAGGAAAGTCTGCAGACAAGATGCCCCAGCCAAAGGCTGAAATCCATAAATCCAGCAAGACCCCAGCCCTGAGGTCAGAGTGGGAGTGACAAGGAAGGACTCCCATGACCAGGAGGAGAACCAGGTCTCTCGCCATCTCTGGACCTTTCTGTCTCTGCATTTCCACACATGGGGTGTGTACCTCCCCTTCAATGGTGAGCCCCAAAGGGCAAGGACTATGTCTGTTGGTTTCTCAGAGCCAGGTAGGAATGCAGTCTGAGAAAGAAGAAAGAAGCCTATCATTAAGACACAAAATCAGAGTAACTCTAGCAGCAAAAATGAAATGAAAATGCAGTTTTGTTATTATAAACTCAAGCTACATCAATCCCTCTAATCTGAGGGAAAGATTGGCCCAGAAGCCTGGGGCAGGCCTGAACCTTCAGGTCAAGGAGCTGCAGCTGTGTGATCCAGGAGCAGGTGGAGGCCAGGAAGCAGGGCAGGTCATGGCCCCCCAAAAGTCTTGTTACTGCCCAAGGCCAGGCTCCCAGGTCTCTGATGTCTTCAGAATTCAGGCAGAGTCAGTGGCTGTAGCCACCGCCTGGACACCCCCTGTAGTGCCCCCGAGTACTGTGGTGAAAGGTGACTTCTTTTTCCCTTCCTTTTAAGCCCAGGAGGCTAATAATAAAATACTCTCTGTTTCTGAGTCTACAGGAGAAAATGCCTTCTAAATCCATTAAGTTGCTAATGCGTGCATTTGCAGACCAGAAAGAAAGGTGCAGGATTGATGGATGTACTTGTCATATTTATGGTTTGTAGCCATGTGATTAATGGGCTCTGTGGTTTATAATGCAATGCTCATTTCACTCTCCTCTTTAAGCTCTGGGTGATTTATAGAACATTTATAGGGCATTGCTATTGCATTTCAATGGAATGACAGTGATAACATTTTATCACCCTGGATTATCAATTAGTCTCCTTTGAGAAAAGGATGTCCCGGACTTAGTATGGGAACAGGGTGAGGAGAGGGGATGCTTCTCAGGAACATTTGCATGGTCACCTGGAGTTCATGGCCTTTCTCCCTGAGAGCTGCCTCCTCGTTCCTCTCTAGGATGAATGGGCTGCACGTGTTCAAAGACAGCACAGGAGCTGGGAGCCTTCTACCCCCAAAGCCCTCCTCTCATCCCTCACCATGCTGTGCAGCAGCTACTCATGGGTCTCTACCCACCCTGAGCCAGATTCCACATGCAGCCTCCAGAGAAATCCCCTTCTCACATCACACCCTTTCCTGGCCCTCCATAACCCTCACTGCTTTCTCGATGTGTGACCTTGGCTACCCTAGATGGCCCCTCTGAATCTCAGTCTCCTCATCTGTAAAATGGAAAATGGGGAAAGTTTTTGGAAAAAGTAAAATGAAAAAAAAATTGCAGAGTGGTCGAGAGCATCAAATTGTTTAGCACAGTACCTGAGATGCACGCCTTATGCTGCAGCCACACACACACACACACACACACACACACACTGCTTGCTGTTCATCCATCCAGCTGCTGTTACCTCAGACCAGAATTCCTTCCACTTCTTCATCCAGTGAAATCATATTCCTCCTTCAAGGCTTAACCAGAATGCCCCCTCTTCTCTGAAACCTGCCTGATTCTCCAATATGACATTATTCCCCTGCCCTTTCTCTGCACTCATCCCATTGAATTTGCCCCTGTTTCTCTTTGCTCTACAAGCCTTGTTTCCTCTGTGGGTCTGTGATGTCCTTGAGGGTGAGACTGGGCCCAAGACACGTCTGTCACCCACACCTAGTGCAGGGCCTGGTACCTAGTAGGTGATTAATACAAGGACTCAGAAGGGGCAAGGGCAGGTTGAGCAGGAACCTAGGGCATAGGCAGGAGCCCAGGTATATTCTGGTAGCTCTTGAGAACCAGAACGCACACAGCACAGCCAATGAGGAAACCCAAACATGGGTCTACCTATCCACATGCAGCCACCTGTCCCCTCCACTTTATTTTCATCCTCTTTATCCTCATCCTCTGTTCTGACTCTGCCCTCAGTCATTCATCCAACAGCTATGAATAGATTCCCACAATGTGCCAGATGCTAGATATGCACAGTGAACCAAACAGAGACAGCCCCTGCCCTCGTGGGTTTACAATCTGGTGGGGACCGTAATAAACAAAGAAGCACACAAATGAGTAATTACAAATTTGACAAGAGCTAAGAAGGCCAAAGAGGGAAATGAGAACTGGAACAGCCCGGAAGACCTACTCCAGAGAGGGTATTAGGGAGACCTCTCCAAGTGTCTTAGTCTGTTTGCTGTTGCTTTAACAGAATACTTGAAACTGGGTGATTTACTTGAAAAGAGATTTATTTAGCTCAGGATTCTGGAGGCTGGGAAGTCCAAGGAGCATAGTGCTGGCATCTGCTCACCTTCTGCTGAGGGTCTCGTGCTGCATCACAACATTGCAGAGAAGTTGAAGGGAAAGCCAGCGTGTTAAAGGGCAAAGACAAGAGGCGGCCATTCTCAAAGGTAACTATTCCAGACCCTCGAGCACAAATGCAGTCTTAAGAGAACTGTATTAATTCATTCATGGGAGCAGAGCCCACATGACCCAAAGGCCTCTTAAAGTCCTCACCACCTCTCAATACTGTAACATCGGCAATTAAATTTGAACATGAGTTTTGGTCTGGACAAACCACAGCATCCAGGAACTAGCATTCTAGCTGAATGGTGAAAGGAAGCAAGGGTTATTCATAGTCAGGATACCAGCCAGTCTATGTGGCTTTGTATGAATCAGGAAAAAAAGGCTCCCCTCTCCGGGCAGACACAGCCCTGAGCAAGCACTCATCATGGGAAGAACACAGGCTGATTTCAGTCCCCACTTGCCCCCAGTGGTAGGAGTGCCCTTGTACAGTGCACAACCTACACAACTGAACACAGTGTATGAGTGTCCCATTTCTGGACTCACTCCATTTCTGGATTTGATGACCCCATTGGATTTCTGGATTTTAACCTTTTGTGTTTCTGAGGGTCTAAGTTCTCATTTGCCATTTGTCCCCTCCCATTCCTGGCTGCCCTGGATTACACCCCACCCCACAGATCCAGCTCTTAACTCTGGAAAGCAGATCTTGATTTGAACACCTGACTGGTGTTTCTAGGAACTAATATCAGCCAGCAAATAAGAGGATATAGATACCAAAGCAGAAAATTAATCATCAAGTTATAAGTTAGCACACAGAGAAAGCAAAGAGCACTGACTAGAAGCCCCCTAAGGGCAGGGATCACAGTAGATCCCCAGCAGCCACACAGTGCCTGGCACAGACAGGGCACACCATTGCATGAGTAGAAATAGACATCTGTAAAATAGACAGCTGTGTAAACACATCCATAGTTCAAATTTGTACAGGCAGAGGATATAAACTGGAAAGGAGTCAATGTGAAGAAGTCCAGGGACAGGGCAGCCTTTGGAAACTGGAGAAGAGGAAGAGCCAGAGAAGGAGAGTGGGTGGAAATGATCAATGGGAAGAAAACCAGGAAAATATGGTTTCCTGAAGTCAAAAGAAGGGAGTGCTTCTAGAATGACAGATAGCCACCAAGAGGTCAGTTAAGACAATAACACAAATATCCACTAGATGTGACCATCTGGGAGTAATGTTTGTGGGAGAGTAGAAAAATGCCTGATTAGGGTGTATTCAAGAGCAAATGGGAGACAAGAAATTGGTGACAGTGAGCATAGTAAACTCTTTCAAAGAGTTTAGCTGTAAAAGGGAGTAAAGAAAAGTGGGAGCAACGGGAAGGGATGTGGGGTCAAGGAAGGGTTTGGTTGAAGTTGGAAGACATTACAGCCTGTTTGCATTGTGTGCTCATGGGAAGGATCCAGAGCTTAGAAGAAAACCTGATGAAGCAGGAGAGAAGAGAGTGGCGACAGCGATGTCCTTAAGAAGGAAGAGGTATCTAGTGCACAGGTGGAGAAGGTGGCCTTGGATAGGAGCAGGGATAGCCCATCCATTCTGTTACCAGGAAGGAAACAGAATAAATGGACAGAGACGCAAGCTTCACACACGTGAGATGCTCAGTATATGTGAAAATTACACTATCCCACCCACCTGATCCCAGGTGGCTCAGCTGCTTCCCACCTGTCTCCTTGGCCCAGACCCACAGACCTGTGGCTGCCTGGCCTGATTCCTCTGTGCCTACCAGGCCTGCTTTTCTGCACTGCCCCCTCCTGGCTTTTCAAGAGCTGGCCTCCATTTTTAGCATGCCAGCAAGCAGCCTCCTGGACAGGCACTGACAGGCAGGAGAACATGGCCAGGCCCTTGGCAGTCATCATGGAGCTCCAAGAAGCTGGCAGCCTGGGCACTGGGCTGCCTGCACAGCCACACAGAGTCAGGGACCTTTTGCCAAATGTTGGTGAAATGTCTCAATGGCAAATTTAATTGTGCCCAAGTCTCCATTCTCGGCTTCCTCTCCTCTCTGCAACAAGCCCCTCTACTGCCGTGTCCCCAGAAATTAGAGGAGTGAGGCTGGGCAGGCATGTCTGCCAATGCCAGGAGCAGCTTTGATTGAAAAGGGAAATTGCAGGGCACTGAACATCGCAGGAATACTAGGAAGATGAGGCCAACATCTTCTGTGGAGTCTCAGGGTTGGGGCATCCACACGGGCACATCGAAGTGTACCACGCTGCACAATGGTAGAATGGCTGGCAGAGTGGTTCGGCACTTTCGGGGAAGCTCCAGGTGATTCCAGATGACAGGAGGTGACTCCCTGTCTTCCTCATAGGGAGCTGCCATAAACAACACACAGCTGGCAGGAGAGCCCAGATGGAGCGAGAGTTACAGGCCAAGCACCACATCTCCCCACCCACCCAGGGCACTGCTGACTCTGGGGCCAGCTCCGGGAGGACCATTCCCCAGCCCGGCGCAAGGCTCTGCTGAGGTCAACCTTACAGCAGTGAGCAAGAGCCGTGGTTAATTTGTCTGTAGATATTTCAAAATAGGGAATGATGGTGCTGAAGTCCCTGTTTTTAGTGAGTCTGGAAGAGCGTGGTTCCTGACTTATTTCTCATCGAAGTTCAAATGTATCTGTTTGTCTCCCTTTCTCTTTCTCTCCTCTTCTGCTCTCTCCCTAGGTGTCTTTCATTCTCATTCCCTCTTTAAACTTACCTCTCTTGTGCCTCATCAACCTTCCTCCTTTTACTATTTCTTTCTTCACTATCATGGTTGTGCTCCTAAAATAATCAAGATAGGACAGTATATTCCTTAATATTTACTAATGAGCCTCTATTCCATGGCATGACCGTAAGGATCAATCATTGAACTAAAATCATTAGATAATACTACATATAGAAAATAATACTATAGGCCGGGCGCGGTGGCTTACACCTGTAATCCCAGCGCTTTGGGAGGCCAAGGCGGGCAGATCACGAGGTCAGGAGATCGAGACCATCCTGGCTAACACGGTGAAACCCCATCTCTACTAAAAATACAAAAAATTAGCCGGGCATGGTGGCGGGCACCTGTAGTCCCAGCTATATGGGAGGCTGAGGCAGGAGAATGGCATGAACCCGGGAGGCGGAGCTTGCAGTGAGCTGAGATGGCGCCACTGCACTCCAGCTTGGGTGACAGAGCAAGACTCCATCTCAAAAAAAAAAAAAAAAGAAAATAATACTATATACATTTATATACACAGTCACACATTGCTTAATGACTGGGATATGTTCAAGAAATGCATCGTTAGGCGATTTCCTTGTGCAAACATCATAGACTGCACTTACACAAACCTAGATGTTATAGCCTACTACACACCTAGGCTATATGGCATGGCCTATTGCTCCTAGGCTACAAACCTGGACAGCATGTTACTGTACTTGACTAGTCCATTCTCGCATTGCTATGAAGAAATAACTGAGACTACATAATTTATAAAGAAAAGAGGTTGAATTGGCTCATGGTTCCACAGGCCATATAGGAAGCATGGCAGCATCTGCTTCTGGGGAGGCCTCAGCGAACATACAGTCATGGAGGAAGGCAAAGCAGGAACAGACACATCTCACATGGTGGGAGCAGGAGAAAGGGTTGGGGGAGGTGACACCCACTTTTAAACAACCAGATCTCATGAGAACTCTATTATGAGAACAGCACCAAGAGATGATGCTAAACCATTCATAAGGGATCCACCCCCACGATCCAATCGCCTCCCACCAGGCCCCACCTCCAACACTAGGGATTACAATTGAACATGAGATTTGGGTGGGGACATAGATTCAAACTGTATTATGTACTGAATACTGGAGGCAACTATAACATAATGGTGTTTGTGTATCTAAATATATCTAAACATAGAAAAAGTATAGTAAAAATACAATATTACAATCTTATGGGACCACTGTCATATATGCAGTCTGTCATCAACCAAAATGTCATTATGGGGTTCATGACTGCATATAAAATCTGCATCATAACCCCACAAGGCAAAATAACAATATTTATCATTATAATAATAACCTAACCTACATATTTACTGTGTTTCAGACACTTTTCAAAGCACTTTCACGAGTATTAATATGTTTAATCCTCTCAATAACTCTAAATCCAGGTACTATTACTACCCCTATTTCACAAAAGCAAAATATCGAGGCACAAGTAATTTGCCCAAAGTCACACCATTATGTATTTTGCAGAGTCAGAATTCAAATTCAAGTAGTCTAGATTCAAAGTCTGTGCCATTGAAACTCAAATTGAGTGACCTGTGTAAAGTCACACAGCCAAAAATGTGTAGGAACAGGATGCAAGCTCATGAATGTCTGATCCCAAATCCCAATTCTTCTCTCCCATCAGAACATATCGTCCCCACCTCTAACTTGGAATGCAAAAGAGATGGACATTTTACACATTATTCTCTAATTCCTTGTCAAACTTTCAATGTTTCTTTTATAACTGATGCTTGATGAATTATTTTCTCCCTGTGGATCCCAGATTGCCACTACAATTAAAAATTCCCGACTCTGTAGCCTACTTGAATTACCTCTCTTCAAAGGACCCATACAATGAAGTACACTTCCAACTAAAATCACCATGAACTGGCACTAATCTTTTTTTTCCCCTCTGAAGATTTATAAGTCCCAGTGGTTCACATGAATTAGATCACTTAACCAACATGTTTTGAGTATTCACTATGTGTCAGAAGATGAAGTGTTTCCTAGCCCTCAAAAAGCTCATGGTCTGGTAGGACAGAGAAGGCAAGTCCATTAATTCAAAGTCAAGGTAAGAAAGTGATATGAGCCCAAAAGTGGAACAGATATTACAATGAGAGCTTGAAGAGCTAAAAGGGTCTTGGAACACTTTCTAGGGGAGGAGGCAAGATAGCTGGGGAATCTATAAGAATACACGGACTGGATTTGGAAGGTAACAGTCTTGCAGGGTCTCAACACCACCACTGGAAGCCCTGCAGATACAAGGACACAGAAGGTTGTAAACATTGGACATACTTTACATCATGCTCTGAGAGTTGGATTTTTATTATTGTTAGCCCCTCTATCACCATCTTACCCACATCACTTTATATAAGCTAATTTGTCTCTTTTTTTCAGAAAAGAGAAGCAAAAAGAAAAAAATCTACATTTTGTTGTTGTTCTTCTTTGTGTGTTTGGGTTTTTTTTTTTTTTTTTAAGCTTCCTGGTTGTCTCAATATCAGAAAAACAAAACTAGTCTTCTTCAAACACCATTTTTATCAAGCCTCTTCTAGGCTTAAAACTCTCAGCACCTCCTCACCCCACTTGCCTGCAGGATCTTGTCCAAACACATCAGCTTGGCATTGAGGTCTTCCATGATCCATGTTCCATGGATCCAGTTCCAAATGACTGCTCTGGCCTTATCTCCTGCTATTTCTGCACATGCATTTCCTCTAGGTATACTGTGGAAGTAACCTACTCGCTGAAAAAGAATACAGAATGTGCTGAAGTTTGATTAAGAAGGAGAGTTTAAAAGTGTTGCTGGATCTAGAACCAGAAATACCATTTGACCCAGCAATCCAATTACTGGGTATATACCCAAAGGATTATATATCATTCTACGATAAAGACACATGCACACGTATGTTTATTGCGGCAC
Source organism: Homo sapiens (assembly GCF_000001405.40). Classification (NCBI taxonomy): domain Eukaryota; kingdom Metazoa; phylum Chordata; class Mammalia; order Primates; family Hominidae; genus Homo; species Homo sapiens. Next base: position 35,181,895 of record NC_000022.11, read on the forward strand.
TATTCACAATAGCAAAGACTTGGAACCAACCCAAATCCCCATCAATGATAGAGTGGATAAAGAAAATGTGGCACATATATACCACGGAATACTATGCAGCCATAAAAAAGGATGAGTTCATGTCTTTTGCAGAGACATGGATGAAGCTGGAAACCATCATTCTCAGCAAACTAGCACAGGAACAGAAAACCAAACTCCGCATGTTCTCACTCATAAATGGGAGTTGAACAATGAGAACACATGGACACAGGGAGGGGAACATCACATACCAGGGCCTATCAGAGGGTAGGGTGCTAGGGGAGGGATAGCATTAGGAAAAATACCTAATGTAGATGACAGGTTGATGGGTGCAGCAAACCACCATGGCACGTGTATACCTAGGTAACAAAACAGCACGCTCTGCACATGTATCCCAAAACTTAAAGTATAATAAAAAAAAATGTTTAATGATAATAACAATAATAATAGTCATCATTACAGATGAAATAACAACCCAAAAACTCAGGGATATAATAAACAAAACTTTCATTTTGCCATCACTGAATTTATTTACTTACTTACTTACTTATTTATTTATTTATTTATTTATTTATTGAGATAGAGTCTCACTCTGTTGCCCAGGCTGAAGTGCAGTGGCACAATCTTGGCTCACTGCAACCTCCACCTGCCAGGTTCAAGCGATTCTCCTGCCTCAGCCTCCCAAGTAGCTGGGATTATAGGCGTGTGCCACCACACCCAGCTAATTTTTGTATTTTTAATAGAGACAGGGTTTCACCATATTGGCCAGGCTGATCTCGAACTCCTGACCTCGTGATCGGCCCGCCTCAGCCTCCCAAAGTGCTGGGATTACAGGTGTGAGCCAGTGCGCCCAGCCTTATTTTATTTTTTTGAGACAGAGTCTTGCTCTGTCACCTAGGCTTGAGTGCAGTGGCGCAATCTCAGCTCACTGCAACCTCTGCCTTCCAGGCTCAGACGATTCTCCCACCTCAGCCTCCCAAGTAGCTGGGATTACAGGCACAGGCAACCATGCCTAGCTAATTGTTTTTGTATTTTTAGTAGAGACAGTGTTTCATAATGTTGGCCAGGCTGGTCTTGAACTCCTGACCTCAGGTGATCTGCCTTGCTTGGCCTCCTAAAGTGCCAGGATTACAGGCACGAGCCACCACACCCAGCCCACCATCACTGAATTTAACTACTTTCTTAAACTTCATTTTGCTTGGGGGCAAAAACTGAACTTCACTCAGTTTCTGATCTACTTCCCTACTAAGGATTATCTAAATTCTCAAAAATTTAGTAATGTCAAAGTACAGAGTATAGAGAGCAGAATCTGATCCTCAGTCATTACCTTCTGGCCACTTGACATCTTCAAAGAGTCTGTACTACTGTGTGTCTTTGTCCCAACAGCAAAGCCTCCAAGCTTTGTCACAGCTAACTTCCACTCAGGTCCTTCATCAAGCTCTCTGAGGATGACTAAGGCTTTTCTTGACATCAGTGCTACAACTGGGTTCCAAAAAAAAAAGTCATTCCTCCGCTTTCCAGGAATTTTATGAGGCTCATGCAGTAATCTCTGTCTAGACACCTGAAATCAGTTCTATTCAATTCCTCAGACCAAAATAGGGCAGAGGAGAATTATGGATCTTGCCACGTTCTAAAGCCTTATGCAGGAAAAAGGGCACATGTTTCCTCTACTATGAGGCACCGCTAATTGGGAAATTCTGTTGTCACCACTATTTCCCTTTTATTCTTCCCTAGAAAGAAAGTACAGGTAGAGGTCTTTCTAGGGACTAGACATCTAAACCCCAATCTTCACTGACTAGTCTCTCTTTCTTAATTCCAGAAGATTTGTATCTCTGCCATAGTTGGAAAAGTTTTAAATCATAATGCATTTTTTTCAATATATTGAGAAGAGTGGAAAATTTATGTGATGATTGGTGAGTTAATCAAAGTTTAAATTTTTTAAATTTCGTTTTAAACTTCATCTCCATATGAAATTCAAAAGTTTATTATAGGCCACAGATCCAAGAAAAACAGTGAATTCTAATCAGAATAAATACAAACAAATCTTCAGTGGAGCACATTATGGTCAAACTGCTGAAAGGATAAAGACGATATCTTTAAAATTTGATAGAGTATAAAAATATCAGTATCTTAAAGAGAGAAAAATGTCACATCATATATAGACAATTCGTAAGAATGACAGCTAATGTCACAGTGGAAACCAAGGTAGCCAGAAAACAGTGGAACTGCATTTTTATAGTGCTGGAAGGAAAAAAAAACTGTCAACCAAGTCAATCAAGATGTCTGTATCTAATGAAAATACCCTTCAAAAACAAAAGTGAAATGAAAACATTTTTAGACAAGCAAAAAACTAAGAGTATTTGTCTCCAGCAGACTTGCACTATAAGTAATGCTGAAACAAGTTCTTCAAGCTGAAAGGCAAATGAAATCAGATGTGGAAAGGAATAGAGACATAAGAATAATAAACATCAAGGTAAATATTTATGTGTTATTTTAATTATATTTGTTTTACATATTATATATTTTAAATTATTTTAAAAGACTGTTTAAGGCACAATAACTATTTATTGTGGGATTTAGAATATACAGAGAGGAAAAATATATAACAAGAGCACAAAAGGCAAGAAAGGGATAAAAATAATTGTATTGTTTTAAGGTTCTTACATTGTTTTTCAAACAGTATAATATCCTTTGAAGGTACAGTGATGAGTTAAAGATACATATTATAATCTCTAGAACAATCCCCCCAACAAAAAACTATTATATCTAAAAAGTTAATATGGGAAATTAAATTGAATAACAAAAATTACTCATTTCATCCAATAAAACTCAAAAAGGAAGAAGCAGAGAAATAAAGAATAGATAACTCACCAGGCAGATCCTCCAGGCCTCAGCCTCCAGCCACCTCCTCCCCAGCCCCCCGCAGAGCTATCAAACCAGTAGCAACTCAACAACTTCCTGGACAGAGCCTCCAGGGGCAAGTGAAAGCCTCTCCACCACTGCCTCTGCAGTGGAACTGCCCTTGCTACCCTTGGACTAATGAAGGAGCAAACACCCTAAGTGCTTTATCCACACCTCCAACCAGCTGCAATCGACCCAAGGAGAGGAGGCCAGTCCACTTCCCATGAGTACCGCACATCCCCAACTGCTCATCACCACACAGGGAACCCCTGGCTTGGGTCCACAGCACAGACCCTCCATCCAGGGTTGACTGCACTGATGATTACTGAACAGCATCTCTCTGAGGAGGAGCCCCCAGGAGACAAGCAAATGACCTTTGGCCACAAGTACTACTAAGATCCCTTCCTCTGCTGCCTCCAAGTTGGGGAAGAAACATAAACACTGAGATCACCCCAGAGCTGCAGCAGGCAGCCCAGGAGTGCCAAGTCACAACCTACAGCCAGCACTCAAGGGAGAGAGAAACCCACACCTTCAGAGCATTGAGAGGGAAAATGACTGCAACTGCAAGGAAACACAGGGGAGCTACATAATTGAGTGAGAGTTTACCAACTGACCAATAAGCTTAAGTGTCACCTGCTGAACCACACCCCAAAGCTTCCACACCAAAAATACCTCACTAACAGACACCCCTGAAACCAGAGGCAAGAAGACGGCTTCAAATAAAGATCCTGCACAAAACCTCAGCCCAGTGAAAACATCCAGAAAAGAAGTCTATTGACTGTACTCAATCTACACTGCAGTTAAAGGAACACCCACACGCAGAGGTGAAAATGAACCAATGCAAGAACTCCAGTAATTCAAATGACCAGAGTGTTGTATGTCCTCCGAATGGCTGCACCAGTTCTCCAACAAGAGTTCTTAACCAGACCGAACTGACTAGAATTACAGAAGAATTCAGAATATGGATAGGAACAAAGATCATCAAGATTCAGGATGGCAAAACTCAATCCAAGATAAGAATCACAATAAAGTGAAACAGGAGCTGAAGGACGAAATAATCAATATAAAAAAGAACCTAACAGGTCTGACAGAGCTCAATAACATAATACAAGAATTTCACAATGCAATCACAAGTATTAACAGCAGAATAAACCAAGCTGAGGAAAGAATCTCAGAACTTGAAGGCTGGTTCTCTGAAATAAGACAGTCAGACAAAAATAAAGTATACGGAATAAAAAGAAATGAACAAAATCTCTGAGAAGTATGGGATTATGTAAAGAGGCCAAATCCATGAATCGTAAGCAATGCTGAAAGGGTGGAGGAGAAAGCAAACAACTTGGAAAACATATTTCAGGATATCTTCCATGAAAACTTTCCCAACCTTGCTAGAGGGGCTAACAGTCAAATTCAGGAAATATAGAGAGCTACTGCAAGATTCTACACAAGAAAATCATCCCCAAGACACATAATTGTCAGATTTGTCAAGGCCAGAATGAAAGAAAGAATGTTAAAGGCAGCTAGAGAGAAAGGGGGCAGGTCACCTGCAAAGGGAATGCCATCAGGCTAACAGCAAGACCTCTCAGCTGAAACCTTATAAGCCAGAAGAGATTGAGGGCCTATATTCAACATTCTTAAAGAAAAAAAATCTTCAACCAAGAATTTCATATTTAGCCAAACTAAGCTTCCTAAGTGAAGGACAGATAAGATCCTTTTCAGATAAGCAAATGTTGAGAGAATTCATTAACACAAGACCTGCCTTACAGGAGATCTTGAAAGGAGCATGAAATACAGAGGAAAGACTGCTACCAACTAACACAACACTCTTAAACACACAGACTAGTGTCACTTTAAAGCAACCACACAAACAAGCCAACATAATAACCAGCTAACAGCACAATGACAGGATCAAATCCACAAATATCAATATTAAACTTGAATATAAACAAGCTAAATGCCCCACTTAAAAGGCACAGAGTGTCAAGCTGTATAAAACAGCAAGACCCAATGGTATGCTGTCTTCAAAAGACCCATCTCGCATGTAATGACACTCATGAGCTCAAAATAAAGGGATGGAGGAAAATCTACCAAACAAATGAAAACAGAAAAAAGCAGGGGTTACAATCCTAATTTCAGGCAAAACAGATTTTAACCAACAAAGATCAAAAAAGACCAAGGAGGGCATTACAGAATGCCAAAGGGTTCAATTCAACAAGGAGATCCAACTATTCTAAATATATATGCATCCAACACAGGACCACCCAGATTCATAAAGCAAGTTCTTAGAGACCTATGAAGAGACATAGATTCTCACACAATAGTAGTGGGAGACTTCAGCACTCCACTGACAGTATTAGACAGATCATCAATCAAGGCAGAAAATTAACAAAGATATTAAGGACCTAACAACAATGTATACATTCTTCTCATCACTACATGCCACATACTCTAAAATTTACCAAATAATTAGACATAAAACAATCTTCACCAACCATAAAAGAACAAAAATCATACCAAACAAACTCTCGGAGCACAGCACAATAAAAATAGAAGTCAAAACTATGAAAATCGCTCAAAACCATGTGATTACATGGAAATTAAACAGCATACTCCTGAATGACTTTTGGGTAAATATTGAAATTAAGGCAAAATCAAAAAGCTCTTTGAAAATAATGAGAACAAAGATACAACATATTAGAATCTCTGGGACACAGCTAAGGCAATATTAAGAGGGAAATTCACAGCACTAAATGCCCACATCAAAAAGTTAGAAAGATCTCAAAATTACAACCTAAATTCACAACCGAAAGAATTAGAGAAGCAAGAATAAATCAACCCCAAAGCTTGCAGAAGACAAGAAATAACAATTCAGAAATGAACAAATGCGGAGAATCATGAAGAAACTATATTTAAAGAAATAAAAACAAAATGATTAAGATTATACCAGCACTGATAAAAGACATAAAACCAAAGATTCAAAGAAACAAAGAAAGCCTTAACCAGGATAAATTTAAAGAAATCAATATCTTCATACATCAGAGGCAAACTTCAAAATGCCAAAGACCCTAGAATGTAGGTTCCATGATGGGAGGGGGTACCTAGCGCATGATAACCATCAACAAATACTTGTGCAATTAGTGAATTAAGTAGGAAATCTTAATTCAGAGAAAAGGGATATATGATATTACCTACAAAGGAGCAATTAAACTGACAACTGACTTTGTAGCAACTATGAAAGCCACAAGAAAATAGATTAATATTTTCAAAGTGTTGAAAGTAACTACCAGATTAGAATTCTGTATCAAGAAAAAAACTATATTTCAATCAACAAATGTGAAATAAAGGCATTTGTAGAGAGAAAAAAGACAGAGAATAGTCTATTAACAAACAAGGACATGTTTCACAAGGAAGGAAAATGATCTCAGAAGGTTTCAGATACAAAAAGGAATAGAAACAAATAAATGGTAAATATATGGGGAAATCTAAACAAACATTGATTTTATAAGACACAATGACATGCAATATGTGAAGTTAAGAAATCAAGAAAGAATTAAAATACAAAACAATAACAAACAAGTCAGGAGGCAGGTAATCATAAAGTATTCTAAGGCTCTTGCTTTGTTCAGGAGAAAAATAAAATTGTTAATTAACTTTAGAATGTTGATATACATAATATATAAACTTACATACATTATATATTATATACTTATATGTGTACAATTATATGACAGTATATACTATTACATATATTTATACAATTATGTGTTGTAATATAACAATGCACATATATTTCTAGAGAAACCAGAAAAATAGAAAATAAGTTTAGTATAAATTCTAAACAAGTGGAGAAAAAAGTGAAATAAGGAGAAAAATATCTTAAGGCAAAAGAAAATAGAAACTAAAAGAAAAAGCCTAGAAAATGTGGGTCACAGAAAAGTTAAAATCAGCAGAAATGAATCTAAATAAATTAAAAACCAGGCTGGGCATGGTGATTCACACCTATAATCCTAGCATTCTGGGAGGCCAAGGCGGGCAGATCACCTGAGGTGGGGAGTTTGAGACCAGTCTGGCCAACATGGAGAAATCTGTCTCTACTAAAAATACAAAATTAGCTAGGCGTGGTGGCACAAGCCTGTAATCCCAGCTACTTGGGAGGCTGAGGCACAAGAATCACTTGAAACCAGGAGGCGGAGGTTGCAGTGAGCCAAGACTGTGCCACTGCACTCCAGCCTGGGTGACAGAGAGAGACTTCATCTCAAAAAAAAAAAAAAATTAAAAATCAAAATCAATGTAAATGGGCTAAACTCTCCAATTAAAAGACAGAGACTATAACACTGTATTAAGAACTCAATCATGACTGGATATGGTGGCTCACACCTGTAATCACAGCACTTTGGGAGGCCAAAGCAGATGGATCACCTGAGGTCAGAAGTTTAAGACCAGCCTGGCCAACTGCCAACAATGGCAAAATCCTGTCTTACTAAAAATATAAAAATTAGCTAGGCATAGTGGTGCACACCTGTAGTCCCAGCTACTTGGGAGGCTGAGGCATGAGAATCACTTGAACCCAGGAGGTGGAGGTTGTGGTGAGCCAAAATTGCACCACTGCACTGCACTCCACTCCAGCCTAGGCAACAGAGTGAGAACCTGTCTCAAAAAAAAAACAAAAAACAAAAAACAAAAAAACAAAAACAAACCTCAATTATATGCTATTTATGAGGTTAAAAAAAGGTTGAAAATAAAACAATGAAAAAACTAGACAAATCCCAACAAAGAGACAGCTGTCAGACTGAGAAATATTAAGGCAAAAAAAATGCTATCAGGAAGATACAACAATTCTAAACTTGTATGCAACTAATAACATGCATTCAAATACATAAAGCAAAATTTAACTATTAACCTAATATTCCCCAAAACACATCAGTTAATATGCCAAACATGAAAGAATACAGTACCACTTATTGAGCACTTATTGTGGGTGCTCATTTCCAAAAATAATTTTGCTTAATCCTTATATCAAGCAGGTACCATAATTATTTCCATTTTACACATAAAGAAATCAAGGATTAGAGAACTTAAAGAATGTTCTCAATATCACATAGCTAGTAATGGTAGAACTGGTATTCTAACTTTAATCTATCTAGCCTTATAACTCAGAACCTTAAAGTGGGTAGAACACAGAAATACAAGGTTAGCACAATACTGCTAAATAAAACTTGCAGATAGCATTGGGGAATTTGTTATAAATAGGTGATTTTCAGCCAACAGAATGAAATTCTGGAAAAATGTCTTCTCCATATACAGGAGACTGTCCAGAACAAAGAAGAGATGAGGCAGGAACACGGTCCAAGGCAGAAGAATTGGTGCCATAATAGGGTACAGAGTAGGTTCACAGGGACTCATAAGAACCAGAACTGGACATCTCAGTGGAGCTAAATCAGCAGCCAGAGTATGCTGGTGTCAAGCTCAAGGTTATGGGGTTATAGCTGGACCAAAGTCCTGTTTCTCCAGTGTAAGATGGGCCTGCTGAGTGGAAGATAAGACTGAGCCTAAGATGGGATCAAATGGTTCCAACTGTGAGAAAGAAATATTAAACAGGGGCTTGTACTGAGACTGATCTCAACAATGCATAGAATAGTACTCTATAAATGTTTGCAGAAGTGAGTTAAATGCAAGAGAAACCCTGTGATTCTATCAATGTCAAAATCTTTACAAATTTTTTCGCCAGGATGTGTGTGCCTCTTGTGTCCCCCTTGCTAAAGGTACAACTTGGGTCATAAAGTAAATAGCTTCCATCATAGAAAAGTCTCCCTGAAATGATGCCATGATGGTGTTACATGGTTGGGCTCATTAATGAAAAGTAGCAATTTCACACAGAGCCAGCATGGGTGATTTCCAGTCGTGGAACAACTTGGCCTTAGCAGAGTCATCAAAACTCTCCGGGGTCATTGAACTCAAGAATCCATTGAGACACGGTTTAGCTCAGAAAGCCACTTAACACGCTTGGAAGATCGTGGGTCTAAGTCCCTGCATAAAAATAATACTTACAAGGGGTGTCTGAAATTATGCTCTAAAACCAATTCACCACATAATAAATAGGTCTCATAAACAAACATATGACCTGGCCCCTACAACTTCTCTGATCCCATCTTCTACCACCCTTTCCTGTTCTCATTCCCTCCAACTCATTGCACTACTTTCAGTTCATTGACCCTGCCAAAAACTCATGCGCCTCGGGTTCTTTTCATGTGCTATTTCCTCTCCTTGGGATGTCCTTCCAGACGGCCTCATGGCTCACTCCATTCCTTCAAGCCTTTGTCCAGTGTCTCCTCATCAGCAAGGCCTTCCCTGACAGCCCTGAATAAAATAGCAACCCCATCCATGCCATCTGCATCCTGACCTTTTCCATTCCTTTCTCCTGCTGTATGTTTCTTTACAACACCTACCACCATCTACAGGACTGCTAAATAGGGGAGTGTGGATTGGGTCTGGGGTAGGGGAAGAGTGACAGGACGAAGTTTTCTTTTACACTCACCAAGTGCCCACAAACTGTGAACCAGCCATGTTTGCCATCAGGGAGGCCAAGTCTCTAATTTACACAAAAACAACAAATGGGCTGTCAGATACCCTGACCATCTACTACATTATATGTATCCTTGTCTGTCTGTTTTTATCTATCTCCCTGTACAGAAAAAAAAAAAAGTTAACCTAGCACTCCTAACTGCTGTCCTTCAAAAGGCCTGTTTACGAGGTTGGCCCTTGGCTGGCATCAGACAATTTGGAATTCCAGAGGGTTCCCATTTCCTGTTAAAAGTGACTCACTGTTCCAAACTGTTTGTACAATGTGGTTTATGCTGAACACTTGCTTTCCTACTGAGAGGCTAGAGTTTCCGTGCTAAGAAGAGGGTACCTATGTGACCAGCCCCCCAATGCCCTGGGCACTGATCTCTGATGAGCTTCCCTGGTACAGAACATTTCACATATATTTTTTGTTTTGTTTCTAGAGACAGTCTCACTCTGTCACCCAGGCTGTAGTGCAATGGCGCGATCTCAGCTCACTGCAACCTCCACCTCCTGGGTTCAAGTGATTCTCATGCCTCAGCCTCCCGAGTAGCTGGGATTACAGGCACCCACCATCATGCCCGGCTAATTTTTGTATTTTTAGTAGAGACGGGGTTTCACCATGTTGGCCAGGCTGGTCTTGAACTCCTGATCCAAGACAGGTGATCCACCCACCTCGGCCTCTCAAAGTGCTGGGATTACAGGTGTGAGCCACAGCATCTGGCCACATTTGACATGTTTTGTCACAATCCATTGCTGGAGGAATTAAGCCTGTCCTGTGTGACCACTGGGAGAGGACTCATGGATGCTTACACTTGGTTTCCTCTGGACTTCGCTCCATATGCCTTTTCCTTTTGCTGATCTAGTTTGGCATCCTTTCACCATAACAAATCATAGTGATGAGCACCACTGCCGTACTGAGTCCTGTGAGTCCTCCTAATGAATCATTGAACCTGGGAGTGGTCTTGGAAACTCCCAGCACACACCCCCAACTAGGGTGTCTGCTTCGTGAGGTCAGAGGCACACTCTGCTTTGCTCACTGCTGTCTCCTTCTATTAGACACCTCTTCTGCAGCCGGACACTTGGTCTGCTCCACTTGCTGTAGCAACCAGCTGTGTATGGCTTCTGCCTGGCTCCACGTGGCACAATCCAGCAGTCCTCCTCTGACAGCCACACCTGTATGACAGCAGACTCTGTGAGACCCTCTTGGTGCCCACACTGCCCAGAAGTACAGGCAAGTTGCACTTGGTGCAAGCCTTTGACCAACAGGAGATGGGAACCAGCCATGAGGGCTTCCTCTGTTCTCTCCCAAGTGGACTTTTTTCAGTCACATCTTTCCTACTTCTCCAGTGACAGCCTCATGAGACTGAGCAATCCATTGCACTTGATAACAAGCAGCGGCCATGCCAGTGACCCTAGGTAACACTCCCTAATAAAGTCATAGCACATGCGCTTTTGCCTCAGACTCCGCTTTCTAGGAATAGCATACTGAACCCAGAACAATGCCTGTCCCATCAGTGGGACTGAAGGAGTAGCTGTTGAAAGAATGAATACCTTAATTTAATGAATTCCTGGATCAGGAAAAGGGTTCTTTCTGGTAGCCTCTAGGTATTTCCTGTTCTGATGCAGTCTCCAGGTTGGGATGGGGTGGGACCAACAGAGGAACAGATATTTGTTTGCTATATCCTACTTCATACCAAATAAAGGAACCAAGGTGGCTTACAGAGATGAATATAGTAAAACAGATTTTTAAATAAGAAAATCAAAGCAAAAGGAAATAAGGTGAAAATACAAGATGAATTCACTTAAGCACATGAAAAGCATCCATAAAGCCTTGTAGGAGGTAGGTTGGAGAGCTGACTTAGAGATTCCCAGCACCGAAAGCAAAGAGGAAAATCTCGGCATTATTATAATGTCCCTCATTGTTCAAAGCATTAAATACAAACTAATCAGCAGAATAAAAGGTTTCGACTGGGTGTGGTGGCTCATGCCTGTAATCCTAGCACCTTGGGAGGCTGAGGCAGGAGGATCACTTGAGGCCAGGAATTAGAGACCAGCCTGGGCAAGATAAGGAGAACCTGTCTCATAAAAAAGGAAGGAGGGAAGGAGGGAAGGAAGGAAGGAAGGAGGGAAGGAAGGGAGGGAGGGAGGGAGGGGAGGGAGGGAGGGAGGGAAGGAAGGAAGGAAGAAGGAAGGAAGAAGGAAGGAAGAAGGAAGGAAGAAGGGAGGGAGGGAGGAAAGGAGGGAGGGAAGGAGGGAGGAAGGAAGGAAGGAAAGAAGGAGGGAGGGAGGGACGGAGGGAAGGGAAGAAGGAAGGAAGGAAGGAAGGAAGGAGGGCGGGAGGGAAGGGAAGAAGGAAGGAAGGAAGGAAATAATAGTTTTCCTTGGTGCAGGAACCTGAGAGAAATTACTCCCCAATAAAGGGGAAAGCATGAATGGTAATGGACAACACTTTCAATATATCCTACAACAAATACAAAGACCTATTTTTTGTCCCAGTTTCTTATAATGTCCTTCAATTATGGCCAATATGAAAACAATTCTACAAGGAGTCAGTAAAGTCTAAATGCATACCCTCTCTGATGTCTGGCTTGATCCAGGGACAAAATTGATAAGAAATAGGTAGTGATTCTTTACTACTTAGGAGTTGTGGGCCACTCTGAAAATCCAATTATAGAGGCATGTCAAAAACATGTCCTGAAAGAGATAACACATTTTCTGAATCCCAGTTCCAGTTCCCGGGAAGTCCTGCTGTATTGATATATATCCTGGCATTCCATTAGAGCGGAATAATAACAATAACAACAGTGACATTCATAATAAATGATAATAATAAGAGCAGCAACAACAAACACTTATTATATAGTGCTACATAACAGGTTTGTTTTTAAGCACCCGGATGAATTTTGGAAACTCCTCCCCGAGGCACACACTAATTTTTCTTGAGAAAGTTGTGCAGATTTTCTTTCCTTAGGCAATGAGTAGGCATTAAAAAGCCACGATAGGTTCTTTTTTTTTTTTTTTTTTTTTGAAGGTTTCAAATATACTTTATTTCTTCAATAATGTCATATCTTTTTTTTTTTTTTTTTTTTTTGAGACAGAGTCTCGCTCTGTCGCCCAGGCTGGAGTGCAGGGGTGCGATCTCGGCTCACTGCAAGCTCTGCCTCCTGGGTTCACGCCATTCTCCTGCCTCAGCCTCCCGAGAAGCTGGGACCACAGGCGCCCGCCACCACGCCCGGCTAATTCTTAATGGGCACACAGTGCTTTCACTTGGCATCAATCATGAGCTGTTTTTTAAACAATTCGGTATTACACCAGCTGGAATGATCACTGATCTATCCGTCCTTTTGGGGTGGCTCAGCTAACAGGGGATGGGTTCCATTCCATTTCGATTTGTGTTGCTACACTTGTCCATACAGCAGTACAGAAAGTGGCTCCACTAGCTAATACAGCATTACCATATCTGTCATGAAAATCAGGTGTACCTTTCTGGTGGCTCTGCCTTGCCATTGTTTGCTGAATGCTTCGAACTTGGAGACGACTTGAGTGTGTTTTTGACCAAGAGAAACATCGTGAAGGTGAAGATAGAACTGCAGCAACGCAGCTGCTGCTTTGGTGCAAATTCGCTTCGGGTACCCTTGAAGAGCGCTGGAAAAAAAAACCCATGGTAGGCTCCTTTAAGAAGTGGAATGAGACAAAGAAACCCTTTTTCAGGAGACTCTGTCTCCTGCAAAGCTAAGCAAGCTGATATGGAAGAGACGAGAGGCAGGAAGACCTGTGGAGCAGGGGTTACAGCAACCTTGGCACCAAGTTATGCAGACAGGAGATTAAAATACATATATATAGTGTGTATGTATATACACATATATGCATATATGTATATATACACACCACATATATACGTGTATATACACGTATATATGTGTATATACATATATATGTATACATATGATTATACACATATATACGTATATATATGATTATACACATATATACATATATGATTATACGTATATATACGTGTATATGATATGTATACACGTATATATACGTATATACACGTATATATACACATGTATACGCATATATACACATGTATACGTATATATACACATGTATACGTATACACATATATACGTGTATACGTATATATACACATATATACGTATATGGGTATATATATACACACATATACGTATATGTGTATATATACACATACATATGGATATATATACATATATGTAGATATATATACATATATACACATATGTAGGTATATATACATATATACACATATGTGTATATACACATACACACATATATGTATATATGTGTATATACGTACATATGTGTGTATATATACGTATATATGTACATGTATATATGTGTATATATACATATATGTATGTATATATGTGGTGTATATATATACACATATATATATACACACACACACACATACAGAAGCATTAAGAACATCTGATAATTTGATGAAAGGAGCTGTGGAGAGGGAAGTTAAATATAGATGTCCTTGCATACATTGCTTTCTTCTGGGCTTCGGTCTCCCCATTTGTAATACAAAGGACTCAGTCTCTGATTCTCTAATAATACGAGCTAGCACTTGGGAGCAGAGGCAGTGCCATAGTGAGTGATGTTATTATGTGTTGATTGATTTAAATTGCTGGCCTTGAGGTGCTACAAGAGCCTTCTGAACACAAGTGAAAGATTAAATTACAGTCACTCCAGCTTTGTGGCTGAGTGTCTTTTCTTTTTTCATCAAGAAGTTCTAGGGACCAGGCGCAGTGGCTCATGCCTGTAATCCCATCACTTTGGGAGGCCGAGGTGGGTGGATCATGAGGTCAGGAGATCGAGACCATCCTGGCTAACATGGTGAAACCCGTCTCTACTAAAAATACAAAAAAAAAAAAAATTAGCCAGGCGAGGTGGTGGGCGCCTGTAGTGCCAGCTATTCAGGAGGCTGAGGCAGGAGAATGGCATGAACCCAGGGGGTGGAGCCTGCAGTGAGCGGAGATCGCGCCACTGCACTCCAGACTGGGCGACAGAGCAAGACTCCATCTCAAAAAAAAAAAAAAAAAAAAAAAGTAGTAATAGTTCTAGAAAGGCTATCATGTGCAGTACCCTGAGCTGGGTACTCTGAAATAAAGATGCACCCCTGGCCTGGAAGAGCATCCAGCTGCAGCCCCTACCCATGGGGAAGAGCAACGCCTTCCAGGTGCTCAGAGCCTAGCCTAGGAGACAAATACACAAAGAACCAGTGGATACCCGACATGGGTGAGCTGCCTGAGCTTGTACCTGGGCTCTGCGGGCTCAGAAGAGGGTCTGATGGATTCTAATGCTGCTGCTTAGAAACAGGTTCTTGTTCATTGGAAAACAGGAAAAGCCGTGAAGATGAATTCGTTCTCTTGAAAACAAGTTAAATCTTGAAACCTTATTACATGGGGAGAAATGTCACAGGGATTTGAACGCCGTTAAAAAATAATCAGGGCTCTTAAGCACATTTGGCTTTTTTATTGCCTATGTTCCAGCAACCACAAACTTCTGTCAAAAAATAAATAAATAGCCAAATGCCAATGTCAACTTTGAGAGATGGCCTGGTGGGGCAGGAAGAAAAAAGGACAGGGACTTCGTCTAGTCTGTCCTAGGCAAGTTATAACAGCTCCTTGGATTTTAATTTCCTTGTGCATAAAATATCTGTAACTATTTATGCCCCACTTCTCTCATAAGCTTCACAACTACCATTTATTGAACACCTATGATGAGGCAGATACTGTACTAGGAAGTATGCATGTATTTATCATCTCGATTCATCTCTGCAGTGTCAGAGCAAGGACAGGTGGTCATTATTCCGCTGTGGCCAAGGCCACAGAGGGTTGATGTAACTTTCTTAAGTTCAAAAGCTGCGTGGGGTGGAGCTATGTTCTGAAGCACAGCTGTCTTGCTTCAAAATCTGTGCAACTGGAGCCATCTTTGGGAGTCTGGAACTCCAAGAAAATAAACCTGGTGAATCCACCCTAATTGTGAAGAACCTTGACCACAGGGCTGAGAAACATGCTTGAAGCATGTCCTCTCCTGACCTCGGCAACTCTGCAGATGATACTAAGGATCCAAGTGTCCAAAGAAAGACATAGTTTCTGGCCAGGTGCAGTGGTTCACACCTGTAATCCCAGCACTTTGGGAGGTTGAAGCAGAGGATAGTTTGAAACCAGGAGTCAAGACCAGCCTGGATTCCACCTCTACAAAAAGTGAAAGAAAAAAAAAATTAGCCAGGTATGGTGGCACATGCCTGTAGTCCCAGCTATTTGGGAGGCTGAGGCAAGAGGATCCCTTGAGCCTAGGAGGTGAAGGCTGAAGTGAGCTATGATCATGCCACTATACTCAAGCCTAAGTGACAGAACAAGACCCTGTCTCAAAGGGGAAAAAAAAGACATAGGTTCTTAGCACTTGCAACCAAGTCAGCAGGTGCCTGTGAAGTCACAAGTGGATGGAGTTGGATGTTACCTCCCACCTCCACCGCCCTCCCTCCTGCCTCAACCCCCTCTAATGGGAAGGGGCTGTGCTTTCCAGTCCAACCCCCACCTCCACAGAACCAAGCATGCAGGCAGACCCACAAAGGAATCCTGAATTAGCTCGACCTGCCTCCCAGCTGCTGGATGAGCCTAATTAGACCAAATTAATAATTTATTCAAGCAAAATGAGACATGCCAAGACTCTCCAGGGAGGCTGTAAAATGATAATGCCTTCTTATTAGGGAAATGTGTCAACACCCCATGCAAACTCTGGGTCTGGGATAGAAGCAGGAGGCTTGACTTGATTCACCTTGTGAGGACAGCTCCTGGGTCCTTCCACCTGCATCTCCCCATGTGTGGTATCTCCTGTCTCATTACGCACTCCTCCTCCTTCTTCATACCCCTTCCTTCTCCTCTTCTTCCTTCCCCGGTAATTCTCCCCCTCCTTCTGCTCCTCCACCTCTCTTCCTCCTCCTTCTCCTCCCTCTCCCCCTTCTTCACCCTGACACCTCATTAACCTAAACTTTCAAATCATTCTCCCCACCAGAAAGGAAAGCCGGATGACAAGCTAATATTTCCATGTCACACACTGAGTGATTCTTACATAAAAATTAACAGGCACTTGACAAAGTCATAATTACTAACTAATGATGCATTATGCAATTTCCATAATTAGTCATGTTATTGATATTTCCTCCCAACCACAGAGATGGGGGGGGCACCTTTATTTATAGCTAGAGAAATGGCTAATCTGTGTGCAGGTTGTTGAGAGAGAATCTATAGAAAACAGTTCCCTTCTCACACACACCCAGACCCAGCACCTGCCCTCCAGTCCCCTCTGGAGCTGGTTTCTGTCTTCAGAGCAACAGGAACAAACTGATTAATCATGAGCAAGGATTAATCGAAGACATTGAAACATAGCACTGGGGCAAAGTTTTCAAGTATCCCAGCCATGTGAGGCATACCACAAAAGCAGATGTGGAAACTGAAAACTTTCATAGAACTTTGCAAACAGCCTCCTTCACCCCTCATCTCACAGCAATCCTCCTGAAGCCCGCATCTATTAATCCATTTTTCAGGTGAGAAAACTAAGGCTTGCAGAAGTGAAACAATGTGCCCAAGTGCACAGTGGGCATGCGCAAAGCTGGGATACAAATGCATATCTTCCAGTTAAAAGCCTGGGAGGCAGTGCTGTACGGTGGATTCAGATAGCAAGTTCAAACACTCCCTCCCAGCAGCTCTGCTGTCTTAGGCAAATTACCAACTTCTCTCAGCCCTGGTTTCCTCCTCCTTAAAATGAAAAATAAAAAAAGCAAAAACAAAAACCATATTACAGAGTGTTGTTATGATTAAATAAATCCCTCGCTATCACATAAGTGGTATTACATGTGACATTATGTGACCCTATATTACATTATATCACATGATGTTATGTTATATATCTTTTTGTTTCATTGTTCATTGCTTGTATTCCTCCCTAGACTATAATCCTGTGGGCAAGTACTTGGGTTGTTTGCTGTTGTATTTCCCTATCTGGAACAGTGTCTGGCACATATTAAGTGCTCCGAGAATGAAAGAATAAATGAAATGCTTAGTATGTTGCCTGGGCCATCATTGACACTCAGTAAAACAAGTCCCTTTCTCTCCCTGTTGCCACAGCCAGAAGCTTTGCCTGGCTGTGGTCAGGCTGGACAGGGCTTTGATCTCCCCAACATAAACTGGCCTAATTTGAGATGGGGAATCTCACAGGGACAAGACCAAGCCTCCAATCCAATCAGCCACTGTTTGTCTAATGACCATCGGCACGGAGATTGCTCTCTGGATGATCACACAAGCGGATGCTGCAGGCCCCTTGTCTTTGCTGCTTACCCACAAGGGGAGAGACTGCAGGTGAAGATCAAAAATAGAACCACCGGGCAGGGTGCAGTGGTTCACACCTGTAATCTCAGCACTTTGGGAGGCCAAGGCAGGTGGATGGCCTTGAGCTCAGGAATTTGAGACCAGCCTGGGCAACATGGCAAAACCCCATCTCTACAGAAAAAAAATATAAAAATTAGCTGGGCACGATTGCACATGCCTGTGGTCCCAGCTACTCGAGAGGCTGAGGCTGGAGAATTGCTGGAACCTGGGAGACAGAGGTTGCAGTGAGCTGAAATCGCAAAACTGCACTCCAGCCTGGGTGACAGAGTGAGACTCCGTCTCAGAAAAAAAAAAAAAAATAGCAATCACCACAACAGGTGTGCAAAGGGCTACGTGAACAGTAGAGATAGTGAGTGACCTGAGATGCTGGGGAGGGAGAGACAGGGACAGTTTGGTTTGATCTAGAAAGGTGTTATGCCACGCAGAGACAGTGAATTGGAGTTCCCAGAATGCGCCATATTTCTGCATCTCCACACGCTTGCACATGTTGCTCCTTCTAACTGGGATGCCCTTGTCCTCTTGTCCACCTGCTGAACAACTACTCAACCTTCAAGACTCAGCTCTGATGGAGCCTCCTTTAGAAAGAGTTCCTTGAGCCCTCTAAACACAGATAAGCACCTCCTGTTGATTTAACCTCTGATCACTCTATAGGAAGATGAATTATCCAAATATACACATGCAGGCACCTACTGTATGCAGAGCAGTCTGCTAAGCTTGGTGAAGAATATAATGACTGCCCTCAAAGAACTTACCAGAGTACTCTAGTTATGGGGTGGGGCAGGGGACACAAAACCTACTTTTCAGTGGAAAAACATTAGATTAAATCATATGAAATTGCCATTTTAGTAAGTGATATGGTTTGGCTGTGTCCCCACCCAAATCTCATCTTGAATTGTACTCCCATAATTCCCATGTGTTGTGGGAGGGACCCAGTGGGAGATAATTGAATCATGGGGCAGTTTCCCCCATACTCTTCTCTTGGTAGTGAGTAAGTCTCAGGAGATCTGATGGTTTTATCAGGGGTCTCCACTTTTGCGTCTTCTTCATGTTCTCTTTGCCTGCTGCTGCCATCCATGTAAGATGGGACTTGCTCCTCCTTGCCCTCCACCATGATTGTGAGGCTTCCCCAGTCACGTGGAACTGTAAGTCCAATTAAACCTCTTTCTTTGTAAATTGCTCCATCTCGGGTATGTCTTTATCATCAGCATGAAAACCGACTAACACAGTTAAGTCAAAATGGCTGAATATTGGTAATTCCATATGGTACAACCTAATAATTAACAATGCAAGCTTACCTATAAGCAACCTCATTTCCTAATATCTGCATAGCATTTTCACTTTGCAGGATGCTTTCATGCCCATGATCTCATGTGAGCCTCACACTCTCTCTGCGCCTTAGGCACTTTCATTTACTTATTTATTTATTTAGAGATGGGGTCTTGCTCTTGCCCAGGCTGGAATGCAGTGGCACAGTCATAACTCACTGCAGCCTCAACTTCCTGGGCTCAAGCAATCCTCCTGCCTCAGCCTCTTGAGTAGCTGGGACTACAGGCGTGCACCACCACACCCGGCTAAGCTTTAGACACTTTTGTTGTCCCCATTTTACAGAAGAGAAAACTGACGCACAGGGTCAGTGACTTCCCCAAGGTTCCTGCAGTTAGTAAAAGGCCAAGACAGAACTTGATCCCATATCATCTGAATCCTAATATGATGCTCATGTATATTGCTCAAGGTTAAACAGACCACTCATGCTGAAGGGGTTGGAGAAGGTATAGAAGGAGGAAATCAGAAAAATACAGGAAATTTCATAAAATTGAGAGTTGTGCAGGGATGGGAACTCATCAATCATTCATTTGGCCAATACTTATTATGCAACTACTAGGTGGTAGGCCCTAAGCTAGACACCAGAGAAACAGAGTTGATCTAAGAAAATAAGGTCCCTACCCCCACGGGGGGGCAGGGAAGACAACTGTAAGCAGGTAAATAAATGATAAGGTACTCTCAGAAAATCATTAAGTGCTATGAAGAAAATAAAACAGAATATGTAATGAAGAGTAGGGGATGGGTGAGTGAAGGAGGCCTGAGAGAGGTGAGCAGGGAAGGCCTCCTAGGCACGTTCCCTGTGTGCCGAAAAGAATGGGACCAAGCAGAGTTCTAAGGGAAGAGCATTTCAGGAGGGTAATTGATATGGTTTGGCTGTGTCCCCACCCAAATCTCCTCTTGAATTGTAGCTCTCACAATTCCCATACTTCGTGGGAGGAATCTGGTGGGAGGTCATTGAATCATGGGGGCGGGTCTTTCCCATGCTGTTCTCGCGATAGTGAATAAATCTCACAAGATCTGATGGTTTTTTAAAGGGGAGTTCCCCTGCACAAGCTCTCTCTTGTCTGCCACCATATAAAACATCCCTTCCTATTCTGCCATGAATGTGAGGCCTCCCTAGCCATGTGGAATTTTGAGACAAATAAACCTCTTTCCTTTATAAATTACCCAGTCTCTGGTATGTTTTATCAGCAGCGTGAGAACAGACTAATACAGTAGTCAATGCAAAAACCTTGAGGTTAGAATGAGTTTGGTGTCCAAGGTCAGAGACAAGGGCAGTGTGACTGAAGCAAGGGACAAAGAGGGAGTGGTATGAGATGAGGTCTCAGCTTGCATGAATCAAGTCAGAGAATACTTCCTGGGGAAAGTAAGCTGTAACCCAGACTGCAAAGGCAGAGTAGGATTTGGAGAGGGAGCAAGCAAAGAGGGAGAGAGCTCCACCACAAACATCATCTCTGATCTCTGGCTGGTCCACTGACTCAGCAGGGGCAGTGATCATCACCAACCACAGTTTCTTGATGAAGAAATTTCATCAGGATGAAGTGGTTGGATTTAGACTGCAGAACACACATTTCCAGGAGTTTCAATCATTGTCTTCATCTTCAATTAACTCACTGTTCATAGAAGAAGAATAAAGTTTGTGGCACTCCAAAGTGTTGAATCTGGAGCCTTGACCAATGGGTGGAAGCTTCAGAATAGCAAATTGGATGCAACAGATAGAGAAACAGGCAGAGCTGAACTCCAAGACAATGGGCTTATGCAGAAAGCAATGAGAGTCTCGGCCTTGGAGGCATGCCAGCCAAGGCCCGAGCAGCACCTAACAGGGATCTGAGAGAGAGCTGAGTGTCAGAGGAGGTTCCAAAAGGATGACTTTAACTACAGTGATCCTACATTGCAGTTCACCCAACAGTCCCTGTTATGCTTGTTGTCCCCATGTAGTTGTCATTACTGCTATTTCCTTCCTAGAAGGTCCCAGAATGGGAAATAAATGATACGGACCCCTAACTCTAAGGCCCCTCTCAACTCTGACACTCTGTGATTCTCTTTCCTATCATGTCGCCTCTCTCCAGCCTCTTCAGCTGTCATCCTACAGTATTTGCTTAAATATCCCTTCCACCAGGGGCCCTGTCCTCGGTCCTCTGAAACTGCTGGTTCCAACTGCCCAGCAGTCCTTCTGCTGTAATGCCAGCCTGAGTTTCCTTTGGGAAACCTGCTCTTCATTCTCTGGGAGTGGGCACGGGACTCCACCTGGCCAATCAGAGCATGCCGACCATCCTCCTGACCAGGTCATCAGTGTGGGGTTGATGATGCCACCTTGACAGTCTGCTGAGAACAAAGCTCACACAGGGGCAAACTGAGCAGAGGCATCGTGCTAAAGCCAATTTGAACAACAGGATGCACCCATGCCTGAAGCCAACCCCAACCCCAGCTTGTCACTTACCTGAGCCGGTAACACCCCCTTTTGGTTAACCCAGTTGAGTGAGGTTTCTGTCATTTGCAGAGGAAAGACAATCTGGCCCCCACCCAGTCTAGGCCCCCTGCTGTGTGTCCTCAGAGCACCCTGCACTTTTCCTCTGAATAGTTATGTCATCCTTCATTCTAAATCCAGGCTGCACATCTGACTCCTACAAAAGCAGAAGTGCCATGAAAGCAGGAACATCTGCCTAAACCCTCCCAGTCCAGATGGGAGCATGGGCCACTTCTTCCCATCATGGGGGCCTCCACTCAAAAGTGACCTCCTTGGGGAAGCTGCCTCTGACCACCCTGTCTAAAACAGCTCCTCCAGTGATGCTCTTCTTCCCAGGCCACCGGCTTCTCTTCAGAGCACCTTTCCTGTCATTTTGCAACATGTCACTCTAGATTACCTCTCTGTTAACCTATTATCTTTCTCCCCACAATAACGTAACTGAAGTCACTGGCTCGTAGCAGGGACCTTGTTGTTTGATTTTCCACTGTCTGCACAATGCCTGGCATAGCCAGGGCTTCTGATAACC
This sequence comes from Homo sapiens, assembly GCF_000001405.40. Lineage (NCBI taxonomy): Eukaryota > Metazoa > Chordata > Mammalia > Primates > Hominidae > Homo > Homo sapiens. The sequence goes on from NC_000022.11 coordinate 35,204,135, forward strand.
ATGGTGAATGAATGAGCAGGAGTGAATGAAGGAATGAAGTGTCAGCATGGGAATTAGTTGAAATCATGAGTGGAACAAGCATAACAAAGTGCCTTGGTAAAACTGAAGGTTCAATAAGTGTGAGCTGCTCTTTCTATGGCTTCTACTGTAGTCATTCTTCCTGGGCGTTAACCACACTCCATCTCTGTGCCAGGCATGGTGAGTGACACAGTTAACACATTCAGGGCTATAGCTAAGACCTTTACACGTATTATTTCTTTTTTTTTTTTTTTTTTTTTTTTTTGAGACGGAGTCTCGCTCTGTCGCCCAGGCTGGAGTGCAGTGGCGCGATCTCGGTTCACTGCAAGCTCTGCCTCCCGGGTTCACGCCGTTCTCCTGCCTCAGCCTCCCGAGTAGCTGGGACTACAGGTGCCCACTACCACGCCCGGCTAATTTTTTTGTATTTTTAGTAGAGACGGGGCTTCACTGTGTTAGCCAGGATGGTCTTGATCTCCTGAACTCATGATCCGCCCACCTCAGCCTCCCAAAGTGCTAGGATTACAGGCGTGAGCTACTGCACCCGGCCACACGTATTATTTCACTTAAGCTTCCTAACAACCTTAGGAGGTAAGTATTATTACAATTCCTGGCTTACAGATGAGGAAACTAAGGCACAGAGAGGCAAAGTAACTTGCCCTGAGTCACACAGCTAAATGGCAGAGCCAGGGCTGGGATACAGGACACCTGGTACACCATCTGTCACTTAATCGCTAAATAGCCTTTGCATCATGCAGGTAAAAAAAAAGGCAGAGTCACTGCTCTCAGAGTAGACCAGATACATGAAATAGTGTGAGTGCCCTGCACATAAGTGCTTAATAAATTAATGCATCATTCATTGAATTGAGGGGAGGAAGATAGAGCCACTCTGGCCACAGAATTCAAACCTGCTTTGTTCCCTCACTGGTCAGCATAAATTTACCCTCATTCAAGCTAAGAGGTAATTTACACCGTAATTTCAGCTTCCTGCAACTTCAGAGGAATCGATGGAAAGGCAGCCTTACCTAAGATCTTTTCCTTTGAAAAGAGATGTGGGAAGAGGTGGGTGTGCAGGGAGGAGGCAGAAAGGAACTGTTGATTATATTCAAGATTATATTTGAAATAATTTATAAAGTGTCACATGGTAAATGGGCCTTTAAATGGAGCCTGATACTCCTTCAAACTGCCATTTCTCTCCTTTCCATTCATGAGAAGTGTTCTCGCCGCACTCTCTCCTCCCCCGACGTCTGAGCAGTGTACAGGCACATTTCAGAGGAGCCAAGAATTAAATCAAAATTACATTTCTCTCGCCGTCTCTTGGACGAGTGAAACGGTTCATTCTTATTGGCTCCTGGAGGCTCAGGGGGCCAGGGGAGGGTTGATAATATTGCTGTGTATTCATAGCCCACTGTTCAGCAAGGAGGGCCTGCAAGCATTATCTTGCAGCAGGCTGTGTTATTAACTGGTAACGAGCTTTCAGCCGTAAGTCACAGGCTGGAATGAGGCCCCTGAGGTGAGTGAGAACTGAAAGCTGCTTCTAAAAATGGCTAGATCAGGCCAGGCACAGTGGCTTATGCCTGTAATTCCAGCACTTTAGGAGTCCGAGGTGGGAAGATTCCTTCAGTCCAGGAGTTTGAGACCAGCCTAGGCAACAAAGCAAGACCCGATCTCAATTTTTTTTAAAAAAAAGAGAAATTAGCTGGGCATCGTGGTGCATGCCTGTAGTCCCAGCTACACAGGAGGATGGCTTGAGCTCATGAGTGTGAGGCTGCAGTGAGCTATGATCTTGCCACTGCACTCCAGCCTGGGCAACAGAGCAAGAGCTTGACTCTAAAAAGAATAAGAAAACAAAAGGGCACGCTCCCTCTCCTGTCTGAAGTTTCTCCTGTAAGATGGAGCTCACAAAGGGAAAGGCAGAGAGGCTCTATCAGTTAGGAATGCTTTCTGCTGCCAGTAACAGCACGTCTGACTAATATAAACAAGGAGCTCACAGGTCGATTCAGTAGCTCAGTGATGTCAGGGCAGCGTCCCGCCAATCCTCTTGGCCTTTCCCTCATGATTATTAGATGGCTGCTATAGCTCCAGACACCACACCCAAGTAGGATGAAAGGGAGGGAAGAGTAAAGACAAATCCACCCATCCCTTTTGCCAGTAAATCAAAAGCTTTCTCAGAAGCCCTACCCTCACCTCCCAGCAGACTTCCACTCACATCCCACTGGCCAAAATGGGGTCACATTAACATACCTAGCTGCACTCTAAATTAGTTATCAAATGAGAAAAGTGGGGAGAGGCTGCCACATTAGCCAGCTAACAGTGCAGGGGAGTGAAAAGAGCACTGACCCAGGAGGCAGACAGTTGGGCTCTTCTACCATCTAGGTCCACGATCCTAGTCTGAGTCTCAGTTTCCTCACCTGTTAAATGGGAAGCATTGAACCAGATAAACTATCTCTCTGACACTGAGTCAGTTTATGACTTCTACAGAAATACCCCGTGCTGACCTCATGGGGGCCTCCACTCAAGGGTGACCTCCTTGGAGAAGCTGCCTCTGACCACCCTGTCTAAAATAGCTCCTCCCCTGCTCCTTGCTCTGGAATTGGCAGCCCAGTTCATTGGTACCAAGTGGTAGGCTGGAGACTCTAGAGCCTAGTTTGAGAGGAAGGGAGTTAAGACCATAAGAGAGACTGGGGGATCAAGATTTCTCGGTTCTCTTTCCTTGTCCTAAGATTTTGGACATGTCCAGGATAGAGTCTTCCAATTGAAAGTTATGTAACCTGAAATAATAGTAATAACAATGATGCAAACTTTGAATGAAACTTCACTATGCACCAGACACTATGCAAGAGCTTCACAAGCATAATCTTCTCAGATTCTAACAATCCCACAATGTAGTTGTTATCAATACACCCATTCCATAGATGGGTAAACTGATGCTCCACATCATGCCCTCGCCTGACTTCACACAGCTAGGAAGTGGAGGAGCTGTGGTTCAGCTCAGGTTCTTACCAACAGCCCAGGTTCTTAACAGAACATTTTATCCTCTACCCATTCCAGAAACTCTACCATTATCCTGCTTACCCTTATTCCCATCACAACCCTTGAAGGTTGTCTTAGTCCTTTCAGGGTACTCTAATAAAATACCTTAAACTGGGTAATTTATAAACAACAGAAATGTATTGCTCATAGTTCTGCAGGCTGGGAAGTCCAAGATCAAGGGACCAGCATATTCCATGTCTGGTGAGGGCCCATTCTTAGATGGCAACTCCTACATCCTCAAATGACAGAACGGCAAAGAGGGGCAAACAAGCTTTCTTGAGCCTCTTTTTTAAGGACACTAATCCCATTCACAAGGACCCTACCCTCATGATTCATTCACATCCGAAAGGCCCCACCTCTTAATACCACCATACTGGGGTTCAGGTTTCAATATATGAATTTTGGGGAGACGCAAACATCAGGCCATTGTATTCCACCCCTGGTCCCCAAAATTATGTCCTTCTCACGCTCTAAATATATTTCATCTCAATAGCCCCAAAAGTCTTACTTCTTTCCAGCATCAACTTTGAAGTCCAAAGTGTCATCTAATTATCTAAATCAGATCTGTGTGAGACTCAAGGTATAATTCATCCTGAGGCAAATATCTTTCCAGCTATGAGCCCACTAAATCAAACAAGTTGTGTGCTTCCAAAACCCAACGGTGGGACAAGCAAAGGACAGACATTCCCATTCCAAATAGGAGAAATAGGAAGGCAAAAAGGGATAATTTGTCCCATGTAAGTCCAAACCCCAACAGGACAAACAACATTAAGTCTTAGGGCTGCAGGAGGATCTTTGACTCCGTATCTTTGGAACATATTGGGGCAGGGGTTGAGCTCCCAAGGTTCCAAGTGGTCCTACCCCCCATGACTTTGCTGGGTACAGCTCATGCAGGAGCTCTTACAGATTGGAGTTGCAAGCCTATGGCTCTCCCAGACTGGAATCACTGGCCGGTGGCTCTACTGGTCTGGAGTCTCAGGGTCAGCCCCACCCCCAAGGTTCTGCTGGGCTTTGCCCTAGTGGCGATTCTCACAGGCATTGTTCTGCAGCGGTCTCTGCTTTGACCCTGAGCCTTTCTAGGGCATCCCTTGAAATCTAGGAGGAGGTAGCCATGCTGCCACAGCTTGTGCACTCTGTGTGGCAGCAGAGACGGCACTATGTGGACACTTACAAGGTTTACCACCTGAGCCCTTTGTAGAGAGGGACCAAGGCACACCTAAGGCTTCCAAGGAGTACTGCACCAGAAGGCAGGGAGCAGAGTCCTGAAATCATTCTGCCCCTAGGGCCCTAGCATTCTGGGCCTGAGATAGGTAGTGCAGCCCCAGAGATCTCCAAAATGTCTTCAGGGTCATTTTTTCCACAGTCTTGATGAACAGCACCTGGCTTCTTCTGAGCCATACTAATCTCCTATCAAATGACAGCCTTCGCCACACACTCCATGTTCTCTCCTGAACATGGCTTTTCATTCTTTACAATATGGTAAGGATAAGAATTTTCCAAATCTTTAAGTTCAGCTTCCCTTTTGATTATAAATTCCAAATTTAATATGTGTCTCTCTTCTTACATTTTACTGTTGGCAGTCAAGAGAAGCCATGCCACATCCTCGACACTTTGCTTAAAGATTAATTCTACCAAATATCCTATTTCATCACTGTATTAGTCCATTTTCACACTGCTATAAAAAAAAATACCCAGGCCGGGAGCAGTGGCTCATGCCTGTAATCCCAGCACTTTGGGGGCTGAGGCGGGCAGATCACGAGGTCAAGAGATGGAAACCCTCCTGGCCAACATGGTGAAATCTCATCTCTATTGAAAATACAAAAATTAGCTGGGCATGATGGTGTGTGCCTGTAGTCCCAGCTACTTGGGAGGCTGAAGCAGGAAAATCGCTTGAACCCGGGAGGCAGAGGTTGCAGTGAGCCAAGATCGCACCACTGCACTCCAGCCTAGAGGCAGAGCAAGACTCCATCTCAAAAAAAAAAAAAAAAAGAAAGAAAGAAAGAAAGAAATACCTGAGACTGGGTAATTTATAAAGGAAAGAGGTTTAATTGACTCCCAGTTCAGCATGGCTAGGGAGGCCTCACGAAACTTACAATCATGGCGGAAGGCAAAGGAAAAGCAAGGTGCATCTTACATGACAGCAGGCGAGAGAGAGAGAGTGTGTGCAGGGAAAAGCACCAGACACTTATCAAACAACCAGATGTCATGAGAACTCCCTCACTATCATGAGAACAGCATGGGGAAAACCACTCCCATGATCCAATCACCTCCCGCCGGGTCCTTCCCTCGACATGTGCAGATTACAATTCAAGATGCGATTTGGGTGGAGACACAGAGCCAAACCATATCACTCACTCAGATATTCTACCTGCCACAAAGCACTAGGACACATGCACAATTCAGTCTCATTCTTTGCCAGTGTATAACAAGGATGGCCTTTCCTCCATTTCCGATAGTATATTCCTCATTTCCATCTGAGACCTCATCATAATGCCCTTTACCATTCATGTTTTACCAGCACTCTGTTCACAACCTCTTCAGTAATCTCTAAAAAGAAGGCTTTCCCCACAGCTCTCCTTTTCTGAGCCCTCCCAAGAATCGCCCTTAATGTTGCATTCACAGTAATCTAGGCTTTTTCTAGCTTGCACCTCCACCTTCTTCTATCCTCTTCCCATTACCCAGTAGCAAAGCCACTTGCACATTTTTAGGTATTTGTTAAAGCAACGCTCCACTTCTCAATACCAATTTTGGTCTTAGTCTGTTCCTGCTGCTATAATAAACTACCATAGGCTGGGTAGTTTATAAACAACAGAAAGTTATTGCTCATAGTTCTGGATGCCAAGAAGTTCAGGATTAAGGCACCAGCAGATTCAGTGTCCAGTGAGGACCTGTTCCTCATAGATGGTGCCTTTTGTGTCAGCACATAACAGAAGGGTAAAAAGGGACAAACAAGATCACTTGAGCCTCTTTTATAAAGGCACTAATCCCATTCACGAGAGCTCCACCCTCATGACCTAGTCACCTCTGAAAGGCCTCAGCTCTTCATATCACCACATTGGGGTTTAGGTTTCAACCTCTGAATTTTGTAAGAAACACATTCAGGCCATAGCAGGGGTATGTATCATCCTCATCTTTTACAGAAAAGCAAGACTCAGAGACATTATGTGATTGATCTGAAGTAACTGCTACTAAGTGCTAGAGGCACTCAGCTAGAGGCCAAATTTGAATGGAGCACTCACTCAGAGCCATGCTCTTCCACAATACCATGCCATGCAGGAGTCTACCAGGGCAAGCGCCTCTGGGAGGCTCATCTTTGGAGCTACCCTATATAAACCCTTGCCAGCATGGCAGGTTCCAGAAAGCCAATCAATGCTGACCCTGCTTGTCCTTTCCTGCTAACTCTGGAATTTGTCAAGAAGAGCCTGGGGGGGCATACTGAGTGGGCTTTGCTCCTGTGGGGACTCCCAGGGGTGGCAGGATGGTCTTTGAAGAGCTGCATCATGACCAGAGGTTGACTAACACCATGATTCAACCTCTGCGGCAACCAGCTCTTCCAGGGCTCAAGACAACTGGTAATGGGGTATAAGAAGGGAGACTCTGAGCCCCACAGGTCCCCTCTGTGATTCTCAATTTCTACAGAAGCAGAAGGAAAATGGGATGATGGCCATAGCTTCCCAGATGACAAAACCCCAAAACACTGACTTGAGGACTTCTGGAAGCCTAACCCTTTGGGGTCATACCCAGTTCCAAGGTGGAAGGGACAGGGGCATTCCTTATGAGGATGTAGTATCACTCAGATGCCATCGAGAGTCAAGAGGAAGCCTCGGAGATCTGCCATGCTCTGTTGCCCCTCCAGGCTACACATTGCCATGAAGCAAAGAGGGGGCCCTGCAACAGTGCAGGCTCCTGGCAAGACCCCTACTCTTTTCTCCCTTGGCCCAACACCACCTCAGACTACCAACTGTCTGGAGACCCCTGGGAACAGTCTTGGGGGGACTGTTCCCATCATGCCCTCAATCCCTGTTTGTGTCAGCCCCAGTGAGCAGCCCAGGACCCCCAGGGTAGCTTCATCCTCTGGACTCATCTTCATTCAGTTTTACGGAGGGGAGAGGCCACCCCCAGGATCCCCTTCTTGACATTATTTTTCTCCACAGCACCCATCACCATCTGAAATTCTCTATGTCTTATTGATTTGTCCCTTTCTGCCTCCCATGTCATGAAAGTAGACTCCAGGAGGGAGAGACATCACTGCCTTATCCCAAACCCTTGGATGGTCCTGATACATAGTGGGACTTTGACAAGTATTTGCCACATAAATGAACTACTCAATGAATGATGAATGGCAAACTAATGGAAACCAAACTAAAAGTGGCTTTCTAGGTTGGATCAACCAGCAGCTCCATGCTGTGAGGTTTCTCTGTGGTTCTCCCGGCTTTCCCATCATGCTTGCGAGATGGCTGCCCCAACCCAAAGCACCGTGCCTTCATGTGACAATGCCCTAGGACAGGAAGGACAAGTCTCTGTCCTCTGCCCCTTTAGAGGGATGAAGAAAACCTGCCCAGTAGCCCACAGCAGCCTCGCTGGGCAGTTTGTTTCACCTGCCTGTGCCTCGACCCATCATTGGCCAAGAGAATGGAATTCTGTGTTCTGTTTATACCAATCAGCATTTCCTGCCCTTCCTCCAGTAAAGGAAGGGACCTGAAGCACCTGGGCACCCATCCCTTGAGCAAAGCCTGGATGCTCTAAGAAGAGAGGAGGTGGGAAGACACTGACTGTGGGGAGGCAGTGCTCCAAGTGTGCCATGAATGCCTTAATTTTAAGTGCAATCTTTTCCTTAAGAGGATGTTTGTGTCCCTCCAAAATCTCTTCCTTAAGAGCTTTATTTTTCTGTGCTTCTTTCTCTTCCCAGCATAAACCAGTCCAGCCAGCCTCAGCAGCTTTCTTTCCTTCCCCCAACTCATTATCGCAGCCCTGCACAAGGGCCAAGGAATCCACCTAACAAAGATAAAATGTCCTCAGCAGCTGGAAGGCAGCAAAGCTATGCAGTTTCACATGGTCAGCCATGAGTCAGAAGTTCCCAGAGCGTCTCCTGCCAAAGCTGCCTCTAGGAACACCTGGTGAGCAACTGCTGGCTCTGAGGAGAAGGGTCTGGAGGGCATGGTGAATGAGAAAACATATATAATCTTCCGCCACATTTCTGGTAGCTTCTTATAGTCTAAAAAGCAGTTTGCCTTAGATTTCATGTAATCCTTATAAGAAGCCCAAGAGGTGACCATTAGGTTCACCCCCATTTAACAGATGAGGAAATGAAGAATCAGAAAAATAAGAATGGGTTGTCCAAGGCTAGAGCCAGAGACCTAGAAGGACCCTGCCACTTGACCACTGCACACATGAATGCCTGCTTGAGTGTGCATGTGCACACCTGCATACATGAACAAATGCCTCCAACACATACACATGTTTCAACATTTCACACTGCCCCCAAGGCAAATACTACTTCTGAAACCATCCACAGAGGACCCTTCCCTGAATTTCCTTCTCAATTCCCCCAGCTGAGATGGCTGAACTGGATTGGAGGTGATTCCCTGACCAGGAATTCCACAAACCATTTTCAATGGTGGCATGAGATTAGTCCAGGGGCTCCACCAAAATACCAGGTCTTGGTTTCTTGCTGGGGTCCCAATCCATAGGGCTCTCCTCTTTCCACAATTCTGCCCCTGCTGTGAGTTCAGCCCCCATCAAAACAGACATGGAGTAAGAACAGAGCCTCAGCAGGGAGGACGTAAGTGCTTGAAACTCAGGGTGGTCCCTAGACTGGCAGCATCAGAATCACCTGGGAGCTTGTTAGAAATACAGAATCCCCGATCTTTTGAACCAGAATTTGCACTCTTATGAGATGCCCAGGGAATGCCCAAGAGACAGCAGCCTCCAGCCTTATTTTAGGATGCAACCTCCAGTTGCCCACACGCCTTGCCTGAACCTTCCCCGCTGCTGACTTGTGTAACTAGAGTATTGCCTACTTTCCAAGATAAATTCCTACCTGCATTCCACTTATGATAAATAGATACCTGTATTGTTCCCTGTGACTAAATGCTTTTGCAGGGGTTGGGAGGGCTGCCTACCAGCCCAGGCTGTCTGTGACCAGGAGCCTCAGTCTAAAATCCCACAATCTCATCAGAAAAGAAAGGATGCTGCTGTGGTGTGTAGATCATGGAGAGACTTTGAGATTAAAAAGACTTGAGTTTGAGTTTGCCTGGAGTAAAATGCAAACTTTCTATGTTCTACTTATGAAATGGAAACAATAAGCCTCCACTGCAGGACTCTATGAGATCACAGAAGAAAAAGGTGTTGGCCCAAGGTAGGTGTTCAATATATCTTAGTTCTTCTTCACTGACCCACCCATAGATGGCTGTGGCAAAGCTTCAGACAAACCTCTATAATCCTGACATCACAAATCAGTGATTATTCCCCAAATCGGTTAGGATGCTCTGGGCTACAGGTAACAGAAGACCCAACTAAAAGTGGCTTAGATGATGATATGGTCTGGTTCTGTGTCCCCACCCAAATCTCATCTTGAATTGTAATTCCCACATGTTGGGGGAGGGGCCTCGTGGGAGGTGATTGAATCATGGGGGTGGTTCCCCCATGCTGTTCTCATGACAGTGAGTGAGTTCTCACAAGATCTGATGATTTGGGGAGGGGCTTTTTCCCCCACTTCGCTCTACACTTCTCTCATTCTTCTCCTTCCTGCTGCCACATGAAAAAGGACGTGTTTGCTTCTCCTTCCACCATGATTGTAAGTTTCCTGAGGCCTCCCCAGCCATGCAGAACTGTGAATCAATTAACTCTCTTTTCTTTATAAATTACCCAGTCTCAAATATTTCTTCATAGCAGTGTGAGAACAAACTAATACAGATGATAAGAAATTTATCATCTCACGTAACAAGCTGCCCAAGGAAGTCCAAGGTTGGTTAACTCAGCAGTTCGACACCAGCTTCAAGGACTCAGGTACTTGCTTTCTTTCTGCTCTGTGAGTTTCAGCATGCCTCATGGGCATGAAAAGACTGCAGCACTTCCAGGCATCACATATTGCATCCAGCAAAAACAAGGGAGTTCCCTACAGCAGACTTCCTCTCAGTTCCATGGGCCAAGATTGGCCCACACATCCTTGCCTAAACCATTCACTAGCCTGGCCAATCTTGATCTCCTCCCTGAGGCTGAGAAAGGAACCAGCATCTACTAAAGCACACGGTTTCTCTGAAAAGGAAAATAAGGTAGGAGAAGCTGTTGGCTCCTCAGCCAACAGTGTCTGTCACAGGCCTGCTACCCAGGATGTGCCTTTCTGACTTTGCCTGCTGCACTAAAGCTGCTTCTGGGGCTGAGGGACCACACTCTCGATAAACCCATTCTTCCTATAACACTGGTTCTCAAACTCACCTGCACCTTGGAATTGCTTGGATATTTTTTTTTAATACTGATGCCTAGGTCTGTATCACAGAGATTCTGATAATTGGTCCAAAGTGAGGCCTAAGCCTGGGGATTAAATCTCCTCAGATGAGTTAATGTTTGAGAACCACTTGTCTAGATCAATGGTTCTCAACATTTAAGGCACCTCAGAGTCATCCAGAGTTCCTGACTCAGCAGGTCTGATGTAGAACCTGAGGGTTGCATTTCTAACAAGTTCCCAGGTAATCTGATGGTACTGACTTAGGGACCACACTTTGAGAACTGCTGGTCTGGATTAGTGCTTTATAAACTTCAATGTGCATATAAACCAATTTGGAGTATCTCATTAAAATGAACATGCTGGTCCCATAGGTCTGAATGGGGTCCAAGACTCTGCATTTCCAACAAGCTCCCAGGTGATACTTGTAACCCAAACTGTGTAGCAGGGTCTAGAACAGACAGGGGTCAACAAACTAGATCCCGCAGGCTAAACCCAGCCTATCGCCTATTTTGTAAATAAAGTTTTATTAGAACACAACCTCAGTCGCACATGGCGGCTCATGCCTGTAATCCTAGCACTCTGGGAGGCCGAGATGGGAGAATCCCTTGAGCCTAGAAGTTTGAGATCAGCCTGAGCAACATAACGAAACCCTGTCTCTACAGAAAATTAAAAAATTAGCCAGGCATGGTGGCACTTACCTGTGATCCCAGCTACTTGGGGGGCTGAGGTGGGAGGATTGCTTGAGCCTGAGAAGTCAAGGTTGCAATGAGCCACTGTACTCCAGCCTGGGCAACAGAGCAAGATCCTTGTCTCAAAAAAACAAACAAACACAATCTCACTCATTTATTTACACATTGTGGCTGTGTTCACAACAACAGCAGAGTTAAGTGATCACAACAGAGATTTCATTGCCTAAGCTGAAAATATCTCCTATCTGGTCCCTCACCAAGAAGATATTTGCTGACCTCTGTCTACAATGATCACAGGTTCTCAAATGTGGCTGTACATAGGAATCACCTACGGAGTTTTAATGTCTAGTTCCCACTCCTAGAGATGTCTGGTATCTGATGTCCGATGTCTGGTGTCTGGACCTTATTCCTAGAGACTCTGATGTAGCTGGTGTGGGATTCAGCTGGGGCATTGGAATTTTTATAAACTTCCCAAATGATCATGATGTGCATTTGAGACTTGCTGGTCTAGTAGACATCGCCCTAGCCCCTGCACCCGCACCTGTCCTTACATCCAGTGAAGACTTCACTTTAGCAGAGGCTCTGCTTCCAGATGTCTGCCTTTATCAGCTGCTCTAGGAAAACAAGACAGGCCCAGCCAGGACCTAAGACATGCCCCTCTCCAAAGGGGCATTTTGGAGATGTATCTTAGTCTATTCAGGCTGCTATAACAAACAGCCATAGACCAGGTTGTTTATAAACAACAGAAATGTATTTCTCACAGTTCTGGAGGCTGGGAAGTCCTACATCAAACTGTGGGCAGATTTGGTGTTTGGTGAGGACCCACTTCCTGGTTCCTAGATGGCTGTCTTCTCGCTGTTATCTTCATATGGCAGAAGAGACAAGAGAGTTTTCTGGCATCTCTTTGATAAGAACACTAATTCCAGTTGGCAGGGGTCGTGTGGGGGTGTGGGACATGAACACTCAGTTGATAGCAGTAAGTTCACGTGGATGTGTAAAGTTCAGCATGCCCATTTACAATAGCTCAGTGTACATTCTTGTCCCTTCCCAGCTAAACCTCACCAGGTCTGACCTTCCTAACAAGTCCATCTGGCTCCCAACCCTACTGAGAGAATCTGAACCATTCTCTGGACTGAACCATAGCATGAAGCCACACACGAGATATCATCTAGAAAGAAAATGTGAATTGTCCTTTCTGGAAAAAAGGAAAAGAGAGAGAGAATTGCTAGCAGTAGAAAGTGGGTTTTCAGGCCTCAGTTTCCAAGAGCAGTGTATAGGTCCTTGGCAGCAAGTCCCAACTGAAGTGCCCAGGAGTACCCTGGTTAAAACACTTGCATAGTTCTGGCCAGGCATGGTGGCTCATGCCTGTAATCCCAGCTCTTTGGGAGGCCGAGGTGGGCAGATCACCTGAGGTCAGGAGTTTGAGACCAGCCTGACCAACATGGGGAAACCCTGTCGCTACTAAAAAAAAATACAAAATTAGTTGGGCATGGTGGTGCATGCCTGTAATCCCAACTACTCAGGAAGCAGCTGAGGCAGGAGAATTGCTTGAACCTAGGAGGCAGAGGTTGTGGCAAGCTGAGATTGTGCCATTGCACTCCAGTCTGGGCAACAAGAGTGAAAACTCCGTCAAAAAAAAAAACAAAAAACAAACAAACAAACAAAAAAAAAACACTTGCATAGTCCTTTAGAAAACCTCAAACACTAGCTTTAGAAGAAGAAACATTTTTTAAAAAAAATCAAATGGGTGCTGCTGACAAGTCAAAGATAAAAATGGTCCTCCCACTTCTCAATGCACTCTTAAGCTTGAGGGCTTCAGGAGATAGTGGGTAGGGGCACATTACTTTGTCTGAAATCACAGCTACATCCTAGAGGATGTTTCCATACCACCCAACCATGGGAGCTGCCATTTGCTCAGCCTCTCTGCCCCTGCCCTAACTCAAGGTGGGCCAGATGTAGGAGCCCACCGCCCTGGCCTCAGTCAGGGACTGGCCCAGAGTTGGCCTTTGACTCACACCAAGCCAGTCAGAACCCTTCCCTCGGATACTGGGAGGGGAAAACAAATCTCAGCCCCTTTCTGGTGGTGAAATTAAGCAATGACAGTCCCCACCATGGGGATGAAGCCAGCCTGAGAGAATGAAGCTGATAAACAAATACAGCAAAGATAGGATGGGGAGAGAGTCCTTGCAGCATTCAAAACCCCCATTCCTATTGTTCCTGAAGTACAACTGTGCCCCTGTGCTCCTTATGGTCATCTGAGCCAAAATATTCCTCTTTTGCCCAAACTAGTTCGAAGTGAATTTCTGTCTCATGTGACTGGCTACTGTAAAAAATGCAGAGTGGTGATGTGTGTCTAAGAGGGCCAGCTGTGAACCAGGAATCCCTCCACTGGAGTCAAGTGTCACACTGTTGAGTGGGGCTTAGGGGAAAGAAAATGAGTAGTACAACATTTTTCTGCTTTGATGCTATAGGAAGGAGGGAAAAGCATGTATTAGTCATGTTTCTGCAGCAATAAAGCTGCGCAATTAACTCCAAAACTCAGAGCCTTAAAATAAGCATTTATTTATTGCACACAAGGGATAATAGTGTTATTCCACTGAGATGGATTAGATTATTGTTCACAATTCTTCATGCTCTCCCTGTAATAAAAGTGCATGCCCTTTATTGTGTGATTCCTCAGGGCCTCCCTGTAGAGTATATTTCCCCACCCCATTGAGGTTCAATCTCATTGTGTGACTTGCCTTGGCCAGTGGAATGTGAGCAGACATGAAATGGACAGAGACTTTCAATGTACTTGCATGGTTTGGCTTGGATTCTTGGGTTCCATTAGTGCCTTGAGAAGAGCATGTCCTTGGTGCTGCTAGTCCCAGAATAGACATGTGCAACAGGCCTGAACCTGGAGCCAAGCCCAGCCAACCCCAGAAGAGCCCAGCACAACCACAGCTGACTCACAGGACCATGCAAGAAAAGTAAATGCTTGTGGCTGTATGCCAGCAAGTTTGGGGAATGTTTGTTACTCAGCATTATTTCAGCAGATGCCTGACTACTGTAAGAAGTACTCACTACACAGTAGGCACTGTGCTAGATGCTTAGCATGTGGCTTCTTATTCAGTCTTCACAATAACCATATAAGGTAGATGTTATTATACCCACTTTACAGATAAGGTGATTGAAGCTCACAGAGTTCAGTTCTTTTCCCAATGTAACACTGCAGATAATGACAGGCCAGATTTTGACATCGACTGACCCATTATATTGAGGTCCACCATCCTTTTATAACACATGTGCATTCTTTTCATTTGAATTAGGGGGAAAAGACATGTTCAAAGGGGTCCCAGCCCTGAGAATTGGATGTCTGTTATCATCAGATGCACTGCACTGCATTCCACAATGCAGTGGGAATCAGTGGTGACAACAGCTGTCAGCCAGAGGGAGAAAAAGTTGCTTCTAGCTCCTGCCAGGCTGAAGTAAGAGGCCTGATGTGCAGGCTTAATGTGTGGAAAAGGTCATATATAACCCCCTGTCGACATGCAGTATTGACCTGGCAGATATTGATGGTGGCCACTCTAGTTGTCATTTCTCCCTTCTTTCTTGTTAATAAAACATCAGTTTTATTCCAGTAGCAAAATACCCAGCCTCAGGACATGAATTGTGATATAATCCAAAATAGTCATGCAATCTTCTCTCTCTTTCCTAGATACTAGGTCCAAGTATGGGCGTCTGACCCAGTTCTGGAAAATGAGACGCTCAGGGAAGTCTACTTGGTGCTTCTGGGAAAGCTATTTCTCCCTAGTAAGAGAGAGACACCCTCTTCCTTACTGCTGGATCATTGTGGTGAGGATCTGATGACTCACTTAGAAGACATCACCTAGCGTGCTGAGAATGATGGAGCAGACAGATCAAGATCTGGGTCTAGGACAACATCACTGAGTGGTTGAAACAGATCTGGAAGTATCTGCTTTCCTGTTCACTAACAATCAACCTCCTTACTCTTTAAGCCACTGCTAGCAGGTTCTCTGTTACTTGCAGCCAAGCATATCTGTATTAGTTATCTACTGCTGCATAAAATGACCACAAATATTTCAGCCAAGAAAAGGAAAAAAATGAATAAACATGGTAATTATTTAATATGAGTGATGGATCTATAAATGCATTATACTATCTCAACTGTTAATTATATTCACATTTTTTATGATTTTTTTAAAAATCTGGCTACACTTTTCTGATCTGCATAGAGCCAATAACTCCACATTAAACATAGAGAGTTAAGGGAAAGCATGTTGAGAACATCAAGAGTGGCTCTGAGCTGGGGAGGGGTTGCCCTCTGAGGTCTGCCGTTGCCTCCCGTCCACACTGTGACTCTGCAACACATATGCTCCAACCCTGCCATCCAAATACACACCTAGTTTCCCAAACGGACCAGGCTCCTTCACGCCCTACCCACATGCTTTTGCATTTTCTCTACCCTTACCTGGGAATGTCTTCCAACAACTTCTTTCATGCCATCTACCAGTTCCACCTCGAAAATTCAGTTCAGCAAGTGTCAGTTCTTCAGTAAGGACTTCCCCGATGCCATCTGCTAATCAGAATGGACTCTGCCCCCACCCCCACCCAGAACACCCATTGTTCCTTATGAAGATGATTATTACAGTATGCATCACATTATGTTGCAACTATTCATCTTCTTGTCTGTTTCCCCCACTAGGCTAAGAGCTTCTTGAGAAAGGGGTTCCCCATTCATCTCAGTATCACATTGTTAACATAGGATTTGGCACGCGGTAAATGCTAGTTAAATGTTTGTTGAATAAATCAGTGGTTGAATTAATAATTAAATAAATAAATGAAAAAAATCTAGCAGCTAGCAACAACATTTATACATCCAATTTAAATCTGTAGATCGGACAGTGATGAGCCCTGAGAGATAGTCAGCTTACCACGTGATTTCTGCAGCCCCACTATGCCCTCCCTAGACCTCTGAGTTTCCCTTGGTCTAAATACGAGATCACTACAAATCCCAACACAGAAAAGTCTCCAAGACACTAAAATTAAGAAAAAACACCAGGCTAGATTCCTTTGTGTGACTCAGAAATAAACACCAAAGGCAATTCCTAAAAGGAGCTACAGTTGTCTTAGAATCCAACCTGGAGAGGGCAGCTTTGTTGGCAGCTGCCATTCTGTGCCAGTAGGGCTCAGAATGATGGAGCTATGTTATAGGAAGGCAGATTTGGGCTCAATGTCATGGATTTTCTTTAAAAGTTACAGTTGTCCAATCAAGGCACAGGCTGCCTCCTAGAATCAAGAGTTCCTCATTCGTCCAAAAGTCAACAATTGTTAACTGAGCACCTCATGGTCCAGATGTGGGGGTTACTACAGTGAACAATGTAGGAAAGGCCACTGTCCCCTGCAGATGACAGGCTAGATAAGCCAAGGCAAAGCCTGGGTGATTCCAGGAAGACTGCAGAGGGGGTCCTCTCAGTCTAGACCCCTGGACACTGGACCAGGTGACCTCCAAAGCTCCTTTCAAATATAAGATCAGGCTGGGTGCAGTGGCTCACACCTGTAATCCCAGCACTTCGGGAGGCTGAGGATGGCAGATCACCTGAGGTCAGGAGTTCAAGACCAGTCTGGCCAAAATGGGGAAACCCCTTCTCTACTGAAAATACAAAAATTAGCTGGGCGTGGTGGCAGGTGCCTGTAATCCCAGCTACTCAGGAGGCTGAGGCAGGAGAATTGCTTAAACCCAGGAGGTGGAAGTTGCAGTGAGCCGAGATCGCGCCATTGCACTCCAGCCTGGGTGACAGGAACAAAACTCCATCTCAAATAAAATAAAATACATAAAATAAAATATAAACAAATATAAGATCTGTTTTTCTTGTCCTGATGATCCTGTCTGAGTTATCAATTTCATGTAAGACAAGTGGCTCTTAGGAATCTTCCAGGGGAGGGTGGAAAAGTTACTAGATACCCACAACTTCAAAGGATATAAACTTGAGAAAGCTAGAACCATAACTCTGTTCTGTCATCATGTTCATCACAGATCTTGGCACGTAGGAGAGACACAATACAAATTTAAATGAATAAATAAGTAATTTAACTACATGGAAAGGGGGAAGAAAGAGTAATGTCAGCTGGGAAGATGGAGCGAAGAAGGCTTTGTATGGGGGAGATATTAAAACTATGAGAAAGAAGGATAAAGGAGTTTAAAGTTTTTCTTTGCCTTTTTATGTAAATTCCCTGCATCATTTTTTTTTTTTTTCTGAGACAGAGTCTCACTCTGTTGCTCAGGCTGGAGTGCAATGGCACAATCTTAGCTCACTACAACCTCCGCCTACCGGGTTCAAGCAATTCTCCTGCCTCAGCCTCCCGAGTAGCTGGGATTACAGGTATGCGCCACCATACCTGGCTAATTTTTGTATTTTTAGTAGAGACGGGGTTTTGCCATGTTGGTCAGGCTGGTCTAGAACTCCTGACCTCATGATCCACCCACCTCGGCCTCCCAAAGTGCTGGAATTATAGGTGTGAGCCAGCGCGCCCGGCCTCCTGCACCATTCTTAAAAGGACTATACTAAAAACTTAAATTGCCTTTTCAGTTGCTTTCGAATTCTAGACTGAGGTTTTTTTGCAGCATGAGATTTGTGTTGAGCCTGGACACAAGGTGACCCACAATTCATATGAATTATAAATTTTTTAACATTGTCAATAGTCAATTGGAAGTGATAGCTTTGAGATGCCAGTCTTGTGCAAGATGGGACTGTTCCATACACGACTACTGCCATGCTGTAAACCCGAGCCACTAAAGACCATTCCTGAGGTTCATGGATCTACAGTCAGCTTGTTGTCCAGCCTTGTTGGCTCATTCAATTTTCCTTTTCATGTTGCATTCATACTCTTGCTAAGGAAGGAGTCAGAATGTACTGAACTGAGAAAGGACTGATGAGATTTGTCATGTCTCATTTCGATTGGCTGGTGGCATACAAAACATCTTTTGATACAAAAGGCCCCCATAGCTCTTGCAGCATAGGTTGTCCACAGCAACAGAAGTGGAAGTCTTGGACAGGTTCAGTTAAAATTTCTGCACACACCTGAGTACCGACTGCTCCAGAGACTCTCTGGGTCACTGGGACAGGCAACCTCTTCACTCGTGGGTGCCAAAAATGCTCCTGCACCCCCATTGCTCTCCTCCTACTGCTATGAGCTGTGTCCTGCTCCATCATTTTCCTAAACAACCCCAGGCTTCAACATTTCCTGTCACTCCAACACAACATATTCCCTGGATTAATCCATACAAAAGTCCCAAGAGTCAGTCACTACTGACCTAATTTTATAGATCCTAAGGTCACACAGCTAATAAGTAGGGAAACATGCCATAGATCGAGTATTCCAATGACTCTGTCATAAACTGAATGTTTGTGTCCCCCCCCCAAAAAAAAATTCATATGTTGATGCCCTGACCCCTAATGTGACTGTATTTGGAGATGGGATCTTTAAGGAGGTGATTAGAGTCATAAAGGCAGGGCCTAATCTGATAGGATTGGTTTCCTTATAAGAAGAGAGGCTGGGCACCATCGTGCATGCCTGTAATCCCAGCACTCTGGGAGGCTGAAGCAGGAGGATCACTTGAGGCCAGGAGTTCAAGACCAGCCTGGGAAACAGTGAGACATCGTCTCTACACAAAATTTAAAAATTAGCCAGGCGTGGCAGCATTCGCCTGTAGTCCTAGCTACATAGGAGGTTGAAGTGGGAGGATTGTTTGAGCCCAGAAGTTTGAGGCTGCAGTGAGCTGTGGTTGCACCACTGCACTCCGGCCTGGGAGACAGAGTGAGACCTTGTCTTTAAAAAAGATAAAGAAGGGGCCAGGTGCAGTGGCTCACGCCTGCAATCCCAGCACTTTGGGAGGCCAAGGTGGGTGAATCACTTGAGGTCAGGAGTTCAAGACCAGCCTGACCAACATGGTGAAACCCCGTCTCTACTAAAAATACAAAAATTAGCCAGGTGTGGTGGTACATGCCTGTAATCCCAGCTACTCAGGAGGCTGAGGCAGGAGAATCACTTGAACCCCGGAGGCAGAGGTTGCAGTGAGCCAAGACGGCACCAGTGCACTCCAGCCTGGGTGACAGAGTGAGACTCTGTCTCAAAAAAAAAAAAAAAAAAAAAGAAAGAAAGAAAGAAAAGAAAAGAAGAGGAAGAGACACTCAGAGATCTCAATTTCTGTTTGCACATGCACAAAAGCAAGGCAATGCAAGAACACAGCAAGAGGAAGCTGTCTGCAAGCCAGGAAGAGAGTCCTTACCAAAAATGGAATTGGCTTGAACCCTGATCATGGACTTCTAACCCTGAGAACCATGAGAAAATAAATGTCTGTTGTTGAAGCTTCTGCCCACTCTGAGCCTTTGTTCATCCTTCCTCCTCTGCACTTCAGTCCCTTTCCTGACTCAGGTGCACCAACACTGCTCAAATCTCTAAATGAGCATCACCTCCTCCATCAAAATGTAACCCAGGATCCCCGGATTTGGGGATACTCATTGTCCAAAAAGTACCCAGTTGTAACTGTTGCATTTTGAATTTTTGTTGTTTCAAAAGTTTCAAAAAGAAGCCTAACCCTGGCAAAACCAAAACTGGTTAGCTCCAGAGATGCCTGAATTCGAGTGAACTTTGGGGAATTATCCTCATCACCACACTAAAAAACCCCATCCAGGGAGGAGCTTATTGGCTGTTTTCTATGGATGTGACGTCCATAGAAGCATGCTCGGCAACTGCACCTGTACATATAATGGCTCAGCTAATCAGCCTAATAAATGCCCTGTTTTCACCTTTGTTTGGGGACGCACTGCTTTGGGCACTGTCCCCAATGTCCTCCTTCCTTGTTGCAAGCAATGAAATCCCTGTGTTAAATCTTCCTTGGTTGTGGTCATTGGACTGCCACCCACCTGATGTGTGTACAACAGAAACATTCCTGACTCCTTACATTGAGCTCTGTATGGGTATCAGTAACAGTGGTAGCAACAACTAATATTTATTGAGCACTTACTATAATCAGGCTCTCGGCTATGCTTTTTTATTTTTTATTTTTTTAAGACAGGGTCTCTCTCTGTCGCCCAGGCTGGAGTGCAGTGATGCGATCTTGGCTCACTGCAACCTCCGCCTCTAAGTTCAAATGATTCTCCTGCCTCAGCCTTCCAAGCAGCTGGGACTACAGGCACGTGCCACCACGCCCAGATAACTTTTGTATTTTTACTAGGGACAGGGTTTCACCATGTTGGCCATGACAGTCTCGAGCTCCTGACCTGAAGTGATCTGCCTGCCTCAGCCTCCCAAAGTGCTGAGATTACGGGCATGAGCCACCATGCCTGGCCTCTGCTATGCATTTTATCCCCACTATGTCACCTCATCTTCACAT